>NC_000023.11:33340342-33490699 GCF_000001405.40 Homo sapiens | reverse complement strand
TCTGTGTTTTAATAAATGTATTTCATTAAAGTCGTAGTTGTCTCAAGGATGGTGATTGTACAGTATTTTTTTGTGTCAGTTTCTACTTCCTTTGTAATCTCAGTTGATTTCTTATGTAGGAGTTCAAATTAGAGAATTACATTCTTGTAATATATCAGGGGATGTATATTTTCTCTTTTAATACTTTTTTTGTGTAATTTGTCTATCTTCTACAATAAACATAACTAAATTTGTATAAAAAGTAATATAGTGAATGTGTACCACAATGATCAATTAGGCATATGTTAGTAAAACATTAATTTAAATTTACATCAAGATTAATGAAGGACCATAATTAGAAAATTTAAAATAAAGTGTATTTGCTTGTTACTAGGCATGATTTGTCCCATCTTTATGTATGCCATCAATTGAAAATCATGTTGGCTTTGTAAGTAAATATTTTAAATAAATATTCTGTCATTGTGAATTCCATATGTTTATGGATTATAAAACATTAATTTTCCCCCAAGGTGATTGGAAAATACATGTTCTCTCAATAGTAGATATTAACTTGATTGATATAGGCCACATGAAATATCTGTGTGGGGATACTCAGCACCATTTACACACACGTATATTTTTCCTTGAAATGTGTTAGGAACTGATAAACACTTCCCTACACAAACCTCTCTTTTACTTCTTTTCAGAACTTATAAAAAGCTAGTAGATCATTAGAGTAATCCCCTGAGTGAGCTTAAACAGTTATTTCAGAGACAGAAAAGAAACATCAGTGCTGCAGAGATTTATTTTTAACACTGTGACTTCAAGGTCAGAATCAATTTTTCTTTTGTACATAATGGCAATAGGAAAGGTGAAGGCTAGGCATCAAAATCCATAAGCTTTTATCTTATTATAGCTTATGAAATATGAGTGATTTTTGTAAGATAAAGTACTGTGCAGGGATAGTTTTAATTTCAATCTAGACTAAATGTGAGTGGGGTATAGAGCATCATATAGATAGTATAACTTAATCATTATTCTATCAGTTTCACCTCTGTACAGTTAACTAAATAATACCTACCTTAGAGTTTTGTGCAATTCTTAAATTTTTAAGAATTATAATTGTTACTTTACTTTTTAATATCTAACTAGAGACTTGGGTAATGAGATGCTTGAACGTTCAAACTTCAGTTACAATTAGTGACTCCTGTGATCACTGCTGAAATGTTGAATGTGAAACCTTATACCATGATAACTAACGTTCAAAATGGAAAGTATTGGGGAAAATATAAACAAATACCTCCATGTAAGAAAGGAAACTGAGAGAAGAGAGAGATATGTAAAGATTACCAAAAGAGAGCTACAATACTGGAGATAGGCCTTGTTTTACATTTTCTTGCTTCCTTTATCAATCTCATATTCGGAATATTTTGAGACTTTGGAAAATTTAGCACTTTAGAAAGAGTATCATTGTGTCTAATCTAAGGGCATTGTTGACATAGTCATACATCAACTGAGGGGTGGGGCTCCACCAGAAGTTTATTTATTTTTTTGCCTAGATTTAGATATAGAACAAGAGAATTGGGAAGAGTTTGAGGAAAACCCCTATGTTTCATAAATGAACTGAGAGGATAAATATACTGCCCAAATTTTGCTAGCTGTTTAGTTGAGATCAGTGGCTATTATTCTGGTATTTTGATATTTTACATTCAATTATGTCACACTATCTAGACATAGGGAAGAATATGTACAATTTCAAAAACAATTAGTTCACCACAAAATGCATCCCATCTTGCACCACTCCGTTACATTTTGTAACATTTATAGATTTATACATATAAAGGTTAGGTTGTGTAATCGATTATTACAAATCTTAGCTTTATTGAGGGATACTCGGTATACAGAGAACTGCACATATTTAACATGTACAATTTTGTAAGCTTTGATATATACTTCTGTGATAACACAGTCATAATTAAAATAAACAAATGCCTCACTTCCAAAAGTTTCCTCCAACCTCCTTTTCATCTTTTCACAACTACCCCTACCTTTCACTTCCACCCCCAGGTAGCCCCTCATCTGCTTTCTGTCACTATACATTTGTATTTTTGAGAACATTATATAAATGAAATTATGTACTATTTACACTTTATATTGTCTGACTTCTTTCACACAGCATAATTATTTTGAAATCCATCATTGTTATTGCCTGTTTAATAGTTTCTTCCTTTATTTTTGCTAAATAATATTCCATTGTATGGATATACCAAAATACTTTATTTATAAACCTGTAGATGGATAATTTGGAGTTCTTCTGCTTTGTTATTTTGTGTGTGTGTTCTGTTTGTTTGGGTGGCTTTTGCTCATATAAAGTTGCTGTGAACATTTGTAAAGCCTTTGTATACAAATATGAGTTTACTACTATTAAGATATAACTAGGAGCAGAATGACTGGACACATGGTAAGTGCATGTTTAACATTTTCAGGACTACTTTGAACTTCTTTTGAAAGCATTTGTATCATTTTGAATTCCCACTAATAGTAGATGAGAGGTCCAGTCATCCCATATTCTTGCCAATATTTGATATAGTCAGTTAAAAAAAATAAGCCATTCTTATAGGTATGTCACTGTATCTTATTTTATTTTGCACTATAGATCATCTTTTCATGTGCTCATTTGCCATCCATATATGTTTTCAAAGACTAACATTTTTATTACATGTGTTCTCTGTTGTTTTTCTACTATATCTTTTATTAATTTTCACTCTGGATTTTTATTATATTTCTCTGTTTAGTTTGGATTTAATTTGCTGTTCTTTCGTTTGTTTCTTAAGGTAAACACTGAGGTTGGTTAACACCTTGTTTCATTTCAAATATAGGCACCTTGTGCTAAAAATTCCAATGTAATCATTTCCTTAGCCACATCACACATTTCTTCATATGTTTTGCTTTGATATTCATATGGTTCAAAATAATTTCAATTATTATTATTATTTTATTTATTTATTTAGAGGCAGAGTCTGGCTTCGTCTCCCAGGCTGGAGTGCAATGGCGTGATCTCGGCTCACTGCAACCTCCGCCTCCTGGGTTCAAGTGATTCTCCTGTCTCAGCCTTCTCAGTAGCTGGGATTACAGGCACGCGCCACCACACCTGGCTAATTTTTGTAATTTTAGCAGAGACGGGGTTTCACCATGTTGACCAGGATGGTCTCGAACTCCTGACCTCAAGTGATCCGCCCGCCTCCCCCTCCCAAATTGCTGGGATTACAGGTGTGAGCCACCACGCCTGGCCAATTTCAATGATCTTTATTTACTGCTTAAGTTATTTAAAAGTATAATATCTGAGAATTTCCCAGCTGTCTTTCTGTAATTGACTTCTAATTGTACTCTAGTGTGGTCACAGCACATATGTGGTATGATTTGAATCCTTTTAAATTTGACACTTGTTTTATTGTCCAGAGTAGGTTTGGCTTTGGTGCATGCTCTGTATGCATTTGAAAAGAATACATTATTCCATCAAGAGAGAAAATGTTCTACAAATGTAAATTAGGTTAATTTGGTTATTGTATTCTATAAAACTTTTATTTCATTTCTGATTTCCTATCTACTTGTCCTATAAAGTGTAAAGAGAGGAATGTTGAAATTTCTGTCTGCAATTATGGATTTTTCTATTTCCCCTTACAATTAAAATACTTTTTGTATGACTTATTTTGAAAATCTGTTTTGAGGTGCATGAAAGTTTAGAATGATTATATATTCTTCCTAAATTGACCAATATATCATTGAGAAATGGCCCTTTTTATCCCTGGGAACATTCATTTGTTATGAAGTTTATTTTGTCAGATATTAATATAGATGCTCCAGCTTCCTTATGATTAGTATAACCAGATTAGGTATTTTCCATCTCTTTACTTTTAACCTACTTGTGTCTTTAAAGTGAGTTTCTTTTTAGCAAAATATAGTTTGGTATTCCTATTTTATCCAGTTCTATAGGATCTTCCTTTTTACTAGCTCACTTAGACCATGTATATTTCATACGATTGTTGAAAGGTTTGGGTTTAAATTTACCATCTTGCTATTTGTTTTCTATTTGCTTTGTTATTTTTTCTCTTTTTTCATTTTTTTCTTTTTTATTCTTGAGTATTTTTAATAATTTAATTTTATCCTTTGATTTTTATTAGCTAAATTCATTCTTAGGCTATTTTAGTGCTTTCTTTTTGGTTTATGATCTACCTCTTTAAATTACAACAGTTACATTCAAGTGATATTATACAACTTCATATATAGTATAAGAAACTTAGAACATTCTCCTTGCATTTCTCTCTTCCTAGTTTTTGTGCTATCATTGTCACATTTTTACATATAAAACCCAGAACTCATTATTTTTGCTGTGAAGAGTAAATTATTTTTAAAACTAATTAAATAATAAGAAACATTTCCAGTGTTCTTCATTCTTCTGCATAACCCAGGATTTCCACTTGGTAACATTTTCCTTTTGTATGAATAACTTCCTTTACATAAATAACTTCCTTTAAGATTTCTTGTAGTAAAGGTCTACTGGTGGCCAATTCTTGAGGCTTTTGTGTATCTCAAATGCCTTTATTTCACTCTCATTTTTGAAAAATATTTTCAGTGGATACAGAATTACAAGGTGACGGCCGTTTTTACCTCAATACTATAAATATATTGTACCACTGCTTACTTCTTAGCATTGTTTCTAACAAAAACAACAAAAAACGATATGCTGTTATCTTTTTTCCTTTACTCGTTGTTTTAGTTCCTTTGCTTGTGATATGTCTTTTATTTCCTGGGTGCTTTAGAATGTTTGTTTTTACCACTGTTGTTACATAGTCTGATTAAGATGTTCATTGCTATAGTTGTTTTCAGGTTCCTTGTGCCTAGCTTTTGTAGAAATATTGAGTTTATATTGTCTATTATTTTTAAATATAATTTCCTTTCACTCCTTTCTTTCCTTTGGGGGGTCCTAATACATGTATATTAGTTTGCTTTAAGTTGTGCCAAATCTTATTGGTGTGCTCCTTTTCACATTTATCAGTATTTTTACTCTCTAGTGTTCACTTTAGATACTTTATATTGGCATGTTTACAGATGGCTTAATCTTTACATCTCATTGTCTATTCTATATTTAATCCCAGTATAGTTTTCACCTTAGTCACTGACGTTTTTAGCAATAAAATTGGCTTTAGAGTATATTTTGTATTCTATGTCTTTACTTAATATTATATATGTTTTCTCTGGCTTCTTAAACATATTGGTTACCAATTGTATCATCTGTGTCAATTCTGCTTTAGGTATTTTTTTAATTGTTACACACTTGTACATAGGAATGGGGGGCATATGATATTTTGTACCATGCATAGAATGTATAATAATAAAGTCAGGGTATTTAGGATATCCAAACCCACAAGCATTTATCATATCTAGGTGCTAAGAACATTCAAGTCCTCATTTCTACCTATTTTGAAATGTACAATACAGTGTTGTTAACTGTAGTCACCCTAGTCTGTGATCAAACATTAGAATTTATTCCTTCTGTGTGTATCCATTAACCAACCTCTCTTCAGACACTTCCCACATCCACATCTTTTTCAGCCTCTGGTAACTATCAGTCTACATACTATCTCCATAAATTCAACTGTTCTAGCTCCCACATATGAGTGAGTACATGTGATCATTTCCTTTCTGTGTCTGGCTTATTTCACTTAATATAATGACCTCCAGTTCCAGTCATGTTACTGCAAATAACATGGTTTAACTCTTTTTTTATGGCTGAATAGAATTACATTCTGTTAATAATCATATTTTCTTGATCTATTCATTTGTTGACATTTAGGGTGCTTTTATATCTTTGCTGTTGTGAATAGTGCTGCAATAAACATGAGAGTGCAGGTATCACTTTGTCATACTGATTTGCTTTACTTTGAATAAATACCTCATAGTGGGATTGCTGGATTTCATGGTAATTCAATTTTTCTTATTTTGAGACATCTCCATACTATTTTTCATACTAGCTGTACTAATTTACATTCCCACCAACAATATATGAGTCTCCTTTTTGCATCCTCACCATCATCTGTGATATTTTTTCTCTTTTTAGTAATAGCCATTCCAACAGGAGTAAGATGATATCTCATGGTGTTTTTGATTTGCATTTCCCTGATGATTAATGATGTTGAGCATTTCTGCATATGCCTCTTGGCTATTTGTATATCTTTAGATAAATGTCTATTTAGCTCCTTTACCAACCTTTTAATAGGAGTATTCAGTTTTTGTTTGTTTATTTTACTGTTGAGTCATTTGAGTTACTTGTATATTCTGGACATTAGTTCCTTGTTGTATGACTATTCTGCAAATATTCCCTATAATTGAACAGGTTGGATCTTCAATCTAATTGATTCCTTTACTGTGCAAAATATTTTTATTTTAATATATTCTCATTTGTCTATTTTTGTTTTAGTTGCTTGTGCTCTTGGGGTCTTAGCTATAAAATCATCGCCTAGACTAACGTTCTGAAGTGTTTTCTGTGTATTTTATTCTACTAGTTTTATAGTTTCATGTCCTATGTTTATTTATTTTGAATTGAATTTTGTTCATGGTAAGAGACTTGGGTCTAGTTTTATTCTTCTATATATGGATATCCAGGTTTTGCAGCACCAAGGAAAATGCGCAGTTTTCTATAAATTATATTGACTATATTACCTGACTTATTCGTGTTTTTCCATAATCTGTGATTAATTCATTTTTATCTTCTCCATCTCTAATCTAACATTAATAAGTAAATATATGAGGCCACGAGTGTCCTTTTTAAACTCTTTTTAAAACAGAAAGCAAAATATCTGTAAATGTTCTGCTTAACTTTATTTTTTTTTCCTGCCCAGGCTTCTCTCATGAAATTTAAAAGTGAATATATTATCTTTAGTACTTCTAGGACCTATCACAAAGTGGGCACAAAACCAGAATGAAGCTCCAATTGAAGTTATATGTCTTTTCTTAAAAATCAGATTTTTAAAGTCTGCTTTTAAGAAAGTTGGTGCATATAGCCGGGTGTGGTGGTGTGCGCCTGTAATCCCAGCTACTCGGGAGGCTGAGGCGGGAGAATTGCTGAAACCTGGGAGGTGGAGGTTGCAGTGAGCCGAGATCATGCCACTGCACTCCAGCCTGGGAGACAGAGCAAGACTCTGTCTCTAAATAAATAATCAAATATCGTTTTTAAAAATCCCATCCTTTTAGGATTCCTAATGTGGGAAAAAACATATTTATGAATTCACATACCTATTTGCTGATTGCTATGCATTCCTTGCTGAGATTTTAGCATATGGGCTTCCAAAGCAACAAATTTGAAAGTTGGGGGAGAGTATGTGTGTTCAGTTTTTTAGCTTCTGGAATTTTTTTTTGTTATGATTTTTAGACAGTATCACATAATTTTATACTTGAACATTGTGATCTTTATAAACATTTTAGTTGAAATACAATTTTTTGTTTAAAATATATGTATGTATTTTTTTCAAGGAATATGTAATACTATGGAGTTATTAAACTATTAATTAAATTTGTAGTCCATTGAATAAACTCAAGAAAATATTCTAAACTTATTGTTCTACATTATGGGGGCCTTTGGTGGGTTTGTGCTGTAGGCTTATCTGACAAATTTGATGGTAGTTTTGAGGGGTTTTGATACTGAAATGTATATTTTAAAACCTACCACTTTGGAGATTCTACAGAAATATTGAGGATACTTACCTAACTGAATAACAGGTTTTCTCTAATTAAGGTTACCATTAAAAAACTGCAAGAAGTCAAAATTTTCTTAAGAGAGAAAATATACCATAGCACTTTTAAAACATATGGTTTTTATAACACAACACTTTTCTTTGTAAGTTTGACATATTAATTTTAATTTATACAATTATTATTATACTTATGAAACTGAGTATAGAAAAGTGCAGAAAGGGAAAATATGCTATAAGGTAACCAGAGATGTTATCATTTTCATAATATTTTCTCTCTGCTAAGTGTTTCTTATGTTGACAGCCATTTAATTATAATATTTTTCTAAGTTTGAATAGGTCCATATTTTCCATTACAATTTTTATTTTAGGTTCAGGGGTATATGTGCAGGTTTCTTACATGGGTAAATTGCATGACACAGAGGTTTGGTGTACAGATTATTTCATCACCCAGGTAATGAATGTGGTACTCAATAGGTGGTTTTTCGATAGTACTCAATAGGTGGTTTTTTGAACCTCACCCTCCTCCCAACATCTACGCTCAAATAGGCCCTGGTGTCTATTTTTCCTGACTTTGTGCCCATGTGTACTAAATGATTAGCTCCCACTTGTAGGTGAGAAGAAGCAGTATTTGTTTTTCTGTTTCTGTATTAATTTGTTTAGGATAATGTCCTCCAGCTGCATCTATGTTGCTGCAAAGGTCATGAGCCCGTTCTTTGTCTATAGCTACATAGTATTCCATGGTGTGTATGTACCACATTTTATTTATTCAGTCCACTGTTGATGGGCATTTAGGTTGATTCCATGTCTTTGCTATTGTGAGTAGTGTTGTGATATATGTACATGTGCATGTATCTTTATAGTAGAATGATTTATAATCCCTTAGATATATACCCAGCAATGGGATTGCTAGGTCAAATGGTATTTCTGTTTCAAGTTCTTTGAGAAATCTCCAGATTTCCACAGTGGATGAACTCATTTATATTTCCACCAGCCATGTATAAGAGTTCTCTTTTCTTTGCAAAGTCACCAGCATCTGTTTTTATTTTGTCTTTTTAATAAATAGCCATTCTGACTGGTGAAGATTTTCTCTCATTGTGGTTTTGATTTTCATTTCTCTAATCATCAGTGATGCTGAGCATTTTTATATGCTTGTTGGCAATGTGTATGGTTTCCTTTGAAAAGTGTGTGTTCATGTCCTTTGTCTATTTTCTAATGGGATTGTTTTTTGCTTGTTGATTTGTTTAAGTTCCTTATAGATTCTGGATATTAGACCTTTATCAGATTCATCATTGACAAATGTTTTCTCCTATTCTGTAGGTTATCTGTATACTCTGTTGATAGTTTCTTTTGCTGTGCAGGAGCCCTTTAGTTTAATTTGGTCCCACTTGTCAGTTTTTGTTTTGTTGCATTGCTTTTGGAGTCTCTATCATGAAACCATTGCCTGGGCCAATGTCCAAAATGGAATTTCCTAGCTATTTTTCTAGGGTTCTTAACACTTTTAGGCTTTACATGTAAGTCTTTAATCCATCTTGAGTTCATTTTGTATATGGTAAGGGAAAGGAGATCTAATTTAAATCTTCAGCATATGGCTTGCTAGGTTTCCCAGCACCACTTATTTAATACGGAGTCCTTTCCCCATTGCTTGTTGTTATCAGCTTTGTCAAAGATCAGATGGTTGTAGGCGTACAGCCTTATTTCTTGGTTCTCCAACCTATTCCATTTGTCTATATGTCTGTTATTGTACCAGTACCATGCCATTTTGATTACTATAGCCTTGTAGTGTAGTTTGAAGTCAGGTAGTGTGATATAACCAGCTTTGTTCTTTTTGCTTAAGATTGTTTTGGCTAAGCTCTTTTTTTCCATATGATTTTCAGAATTTTTTTATAATTCTATGAAAAAGGTTACTGGTAGTTTGATAGCAATAGCATTCAATCTGTAAATTTCTTTGGGCACTGTGGTCATTTTAACAATATTGATCCCTCCCACCTATGAGTATGGAATGTTTTTCCATTTGTTTGTGTCATTGCTGATTCCGTTCAGCAGTGTTTTTCAATCGTTGTTGCAGCGATCTTTCACTTCCCTGGTTACCTCTGTTTCTAAGTATTTTATTCTTTTTGTGGCAATTGTGAATGAATTGTGTTCTTCATTTGGTTCTCAGCTTGGAAATTATTGGTGCATGGAAATGCTTGCTACTATTTTTTCTACATTGACTTTGTATCCTGAAACTTTGCTGATGTTGTTTATAAGATGTGAAAACCTTTGGGCAGAAATTATGAGGTTTTCTAGGTATAGAACCATATCTTCTGCAAACAGGGATAGTTTGACTCTCTCTCTCTTCCTATTTGCATGCTTTTTATCTTTCTCTTACCTGATTGCTTTTGCTAGGACTTCCAGCATTATGTTGAATAGAAGTGATGAGAGTGGGCATCCTTGTCTTGTTCTGGTTCTCAAGGGGAACGTTGCCAACTTTTGCCCATTCAGTATGAGGTTTACTGTGGGTTTCTCATAGATGGCTCTTATTATTTTGATGCATATTCCTTCAGTGCATAGTTTTTTAAGGGTTTTTAACACCCAGGAATGTTGAATTTTATTAAAAGCTTTTTCTGTATCTATTGAGATGATCATGTGGTTTTACATTTTAGTTCTGTTTATGTGAGGAATCACATTTCTTGATTTGCATATGTTGAACCAACCTTGCAACCCAGGGATAAAGCCTACTTAATCATGGTGGATTAGGTTTTGATATACTGCTTGATATTTGCTAGTATTTTATTGAGGATTTTTGTATCTGTGTTCAATAGGGATATTGGCTTGAAGTTTTTTATTTATTTATTTTTTATTCTCACTGTGATTCTGCCAAGTATTGATATGAGAATAATGCCTGCTTTCTCATGAGTGAGGGCAGAGTCCCTACTCCTTGACTTTTTGGATAGTTTCAGTAAGATTGTTATCCTCTGCTTTATACACATGGTAAAATTTGGCTGTGAATCTGACTGGTCTACAGCTTTTTCTGATTGTAGCTTTTTTATTACTGATCCAATTTCAGAACTCATTATATGTCTCTTCAGGGTTTTGTTTTCTTCCTGGTTCAATCTTGGGAGGTTGTATGTTTCCAGGAATTTATCTAATTCTTCTGGCTTTCCACTTTGTGTGCATAGAGATATTCATAATAGTCTGTGAGAAATCTTTTGTATTTCTGTAGGGTTGGTGTTAGTGTCCTCCTTGTGATTTATGATTGTGTTTATTTGGATCTTCTCTCTTTTTTTCTGTATTAGTCTAGTTACTGGTGTATCAATCTTATTTAGTCTTTCAAAAATACAATTTTTAGTTTCCTTGATTTTTTGTATCTTTTTGTCATTTCCATTTCACTCAAATAGGCTCTGATTTTGGTTATTTCTTTTTTTCTGCTAGCTTTGTGGTTGATTTCCTCTTGTTTTTCTGTTTCTTCTGGGTGTGATGTTAGATGGTTAATTTGAGATCTTTCTAAGTTTGTGGTGTGGGCGTTTGGTGCTGTAAACTTTCCTTTTAACACTGCTTTATCTGTGTCCCAGAGATACTGGTACATTGTATCTTGGTTTTCTTTAGTTCCACAGAATTTCTTGATTTCTGCCTTAATTCCTTTGTTTACTCAAAAGTCACTCAGGAACAGATTATTTAATTTACATGTAATTGTATGGTATTGGGAAATCTTTTCATTGATTTCTGTTTTTATTTTTCTGCGGTCCAAGAGTGTGGTTGGCATGATTTCAGTTTTTTTGAATTTGTTGAAAATTGTTTTAGGGCTTAGTGTGTCATTAATTTTAGATTATATGCCATGTGCAAATGAGAAAAAATGCACATTCTGTTCTTGTTGGGCAGAGTGTTCCTTAGATGCCTGTCAGGTCAAGTGTAGAGTATAGTTCCCAAATGTGTTTGTTAATTTTCTGCGTATGATCTATCTAATACTGTCAGTGGGGTGTTGAAGTCTTCCACTATTATTGTGTGGTCATCTCATTCTCTTTGTAGCTCTCTGATATTTTGCTTTATGAAGCTAGGTGCTCCGGTGGTGGGTGCATATATATTTGAAATAGTTAAGTCTTCTTTGTGAATTGAATACTTTATCATACTGTAATGTCTTTCTTTGTCCTTTTTGATCATTGTTGGTCTGAAGTCTGTTTTTTTCTGAAACAAAAATAGCAATCCCTGCTTTTTTATGGTTTCCGTTTGTTTGAAAGATGTTTCTCCATCCTTTTACTTTGAGCCTATGGGTGTCTTTGCATGTGAAATGGGGCTCTTGAAGATAGCATACAGGTGGGTCTTGCTTCTTTCTCCAACTTGCTACTCTATGCCTTTTAAGTGGGGCATTTAGCCTGTTAATATTGATAAGTGTGGATTTGATCCCATGATCATGTTTTTAGCTGGTTATTATGTAAACATGATTGTGTAGTTGCTTTATAGTATCAGTGGTCTATGTATATAAGTGCATTTTTGTGGTGGCCATTAACAGTCTTTCATTTCCATGTTTAGCACTCCCTTAAAAAGCTCTTATAAGGCAGGTCTAGTGGTAATGAATTCTCATAGCATTTGCTTGTCTGGAAAGGATTTCATTTATCTTTGCTTATGAAGCTTCAGGTTGAATACAAAATTCTTTGTTGGAATTTTTTTCCTTAGGAGTACTGAATATAGTCCCACCAGTCTCTTCGGGCATGTAGAGTTTCTGCTGAAAAGTTCTCTGTTAACCTGATGGCGTTCTCTTTGTAGATGAACTGCCCTTTCTCTGTACCTGCCTTTAATAAATTTTCTTTTGCATTGACCTTAGACAATATGATGACTATGTATCTTGGGGATGGTTGTCTTGCATAGTATCTTACAGCTGTTCTCTGAATTTCCTGAATTTGAATGTAGACCTCTCTAGCAAGGTTGAGGAAATTTTTGTGGACGGTATCCTCAGATATGTGTTCTAAGTTGCTTGCTATCTTTTCCTCTTTTTCAGGTATGCCAGTGGGTCATAGTTTTGGTCTGTTTACATAATCTCATATTTCTCAGGGGTTTTGTTCATTTTTTAAATTTAAAAAAATTTTTTTTCTGACTGAGTTGATTTGAAGAACCAGTGTTTGAACTCTGAGGTTCTTTCCTCATCTTGGCCTGTTGTGCTGTTACTACCTCCAATTACGTAATAAAATTCTCGAAGTGAGTTTTTTAGCTCTATCAGATCAGTGTGGTTCTTTATTAAAATGGTTATTTTGTCTTTCAGCTTTTGAATCATTTTACTAGATTCCTTAGATTTCTTGGATTGGGTTTCACCTTTCTCCTGAATATTGATATTCTTAATTGCCATCTAGATTCTGAAATCTATGTGCATTGTTTCAGCTGTTTCATTATGGTTCAGAACCACTACTGGGAAACTAGTATGGTCACTTGTAGATAAGAAGACACTCTAGCTTTTAGAGTTGCCAGAGTTATTGCACTGGTCCTTTCTCTTCTCTGTGGGCTGATGTTCCTTTAACTGTTGTATAATTTGAGTATAGTCAGTTGGCTTTATTTCTGGATGTTTTCAGAGGGCCAAGCCATTGTGCAGGATTTTTGTGGCTAAATTCTTGCCCTTGGTTTCACAGGGGAGTATATTAGCAAAGTATTTTTGGTGTTATAGTTTGGGCTGCAATTCAGTAGATGACGCTCAAGCATAATGGCTGGCAGATACGCTCTTCTCAGCCATATGGCTCCTCTCTATTCCCTCACGTTTGCAGCCATGCTCCCTCTTAGTGCTCTGAGAGTATAGGCTCCTCTCCCGCTGGAGTGCTGGCCACAGATCTCAACTTGGCATTTCTGAGTTGTGTACTGCAGCTATGGGGTGAGCTCAGGCTTTTTGTTCATTCCCCAGCTTGTAGGCAGCAGGAGCAGAGACTTTGGCAACGACAATGGCTGAAAGCCTTTCACTTGTTATTGGGAACTCCACCCCAGAGAAATGCGGAGCCACTGCTAATTGGAATGATCAGCTGGGGATGGAGTGGCACATTACAGGTCTAAGCGAGGAGTCCCTACATTGTGAAGAGCAGGGGAGTGGGAAGCTCATGGGTGAGACACTCTGGCCTCCTGTCTGCAGGACAGCTGCAGCATGCTGGAGGTGCAAGCAAAGTAATCAGGGTCTTTACTCCCCAGCCCAAGGGCAGCAAGGGCATGTACCATGGCAATGGTCAAGGCAGAGGGGCTGTAAGTTGTCTGTGGGATTTCTACTCAAGAGAGACAGAGCCACTGCAAACGGGAATGTTCAGCCAGGGATAGAGTAGCTTTGCTATGGGCCCAAGCTGGGGGCCCTGCCTGGTGAAGAGGAGGGGGTCCAAGGGTTCACAGGGAAGAGAAACTGGCTTCCTCTACATTATAGTAGCTGCCACACGCTGGAGGGGTGAGCAAAGCAATTGGGGTTTTTGTTTGCTCTTCAGGCCAAGTACATCAAGGGCAGGTGTCAATACAACGGCAATGGCAGAGAGCCTGTTGGTTGTCTCTGGGAATTCTACCCCAAAGAAACACAGAGCTTCCAGTGACTGAAGTAATCAGGTGGGAGTAGGGTGGCCGCACTGGAAACTCACTTGGGAGGCCTTGCCAAGTGAGAAGCAGTCTGGCTGCTTTCTGTATAGCAGCTGTGACATGCTGGACGCATGCCACAGTTCATGCGCCCTTCACTCCCTCCCCAGATTGAGGGCAGTCACTTACCCTTTCCCTGTGGTAGGGAGCCTCCTTTGGCTCCATGCTAATCCCTGGTAGATGGCTGTCCTGCCTGTCTCCTTTCTGCTCTCCGTGGGCTGTTGTTCCTTCCTTGATGAATCCCAGTGTGGACTCCTGTACAATCCACTTGAAGAGCTAGTGCTTATGCACCACTCTCTCTCCTGTCTGTGAGAGTGACTCACACTAGCTGCTTCTGGTCAGCCACCTTGGCCAAATAGGTATTATACTTTATAATGGTATTGAAAGAGATTTTTGAAAACTGTCATATTCTTAGGTAATTCATAAATTATAGTTTATCATCACTTAAATGACATACTTTGGTTATATTTCATCTCCATTTTAAAGTTAACCATTTCCCTTAGTTACCCATATGTAGATATAGCTAACTTGGCACAGATATACCAAAGCATATATTTTTTTCTCTTTAGTAAAGCTATATAGTTAAAGAAGCAGGAGATATTGAACTGGAAACTATACTCCAAATAAATATCTAAAATTTTCACTGTTTTTTTTTTTTAATCTTGTTCCCTGACTTGCTAGCAAACTCACTAAGAGCACAACTGCCAGCTCTTGATTTACTTCAAAGGAAAAATATAACATCAGAAAAAAACACAAAATGTCTTCTTCACATCAGAAATTTTCTTATAGAAAATATGTGCATAACATTTTAAATATTTTCAACAAGTATTGTTGTTTTCAGAATTACCAAAGAGTATTTTAATTTAATACTGCCTGACTTAAATTGAGATTTGCAGGGATTTAAAAGTATTGGTAAAGGATGGCATTCAAGTTGAATATATTAGCTATTTTCTGCCAAGTTGGAGTTCATTCACATTTGATAGGCAGTTAAAGTCTATGTGTACCTTTTTAAAGTGGTAGGCAGTTATACATGGAAAATTCTATTTACAAAGCCTTGAAAACTGCATAATATAATGAGAAGAAAATTCATGAGACCCATGTCAAAAAAAATGTCAAGGACTTCTTATTTTTCTTTTTTCCTTTCTTTTTATTTTTTTGAAATAGAAGGACTGTCACTGTGCCCCTTGTTATAATGGATGAGACAAAATGGATAGAAAATAAAGAATGATAGCTATTCTGAAGAATTCTGGCACTTCATATGATTGATCCCAAAAGCAACCTGGAGTGTGTTGTTTAGAACAAGATTATAAATATCTTTCATCTTCACATTTTTTATACTAGAAAAGATGTTTAAGGAATCCTAGTCATGATAGGATATTGTATGTCACTTCCAAAAATGTGTGAACATACTTACTTTTACAAATATGTTTATGTGTTCAAAATAATTATCTTCCCTTTTCTCAGTAAAGATTAACAGCCTTGACTCATATATCCCACAACAGGCAATTAAAAAAAAATTGAAATAGATCCGGAAACATGTTTTGGTTATCTATCACTGGATAAGACACCACCCCAAAATTAGCTGTTTAAAACAATAATTTTTTATTATCTCTAACTGTTATGTGTGTTGACTAGGCTTAGCTAGGTTGTTCTAACTAGGATAACTTGGTAGTTGTACTCAATAGTGGTTCTTCTGGAAGGGTAGGGAAAGAAGCTTAGAGAAAACTCTGCCCTGAAAAGACATGTATTAAGCTGGTAACAATTATCAAAATCAATTACTCAAAGCCTCTGGAGATTCATCAAAAGGCTAGCAACAAACTGAGAATAATTTATTAAATGAAATTCAAACTATGTAAGAACTGTGAGAGATCCTGCCGTTTGATCTAATGACTATTATTATAACTCCCTGACTTGGTGACTGAGTGGCAGTCCCAATCTCCCCAATATCCTGAGGTGGAAGAGCCATTCAGAGTAGTTTCAGTAACCAGTGAACATTAGCAGATTCTGTTTTTACAACCCTATGCTGTAGAAGAGTTCTATCATGTGGCTAGTAGCAGCAGCGTAGCTCTCAATTCCCCGTCTGCAACTCTTGCTCTGTAGGATGGATCCAGGCCAAGGAGCAGGTGAGGAAAGAAGACCCATTACCTACATAGCTCTGTTAATCAGGAGAGCTCCAGAGGGCTTGCTAGGCAGGTGGCAGCTCCCATCCCCACCAGTTGCCTATAATTAAAGAACTATTCCAGGTAGATTCAGCAGCTGGTCAAAATCAGAATATTCAGTTCTCTTAGATTCTGGGCTGTGGAAGTTCCATACTGGGTGGTGGCAGCAACCAGAGAGCAACATTGATCCGCCTACCTACTCCCCCTCCCCCTGCCCAGTGCTTGCTTTATATGGGGAATCCTGAGGGAATGCCTGGTGAAAAGCAAGTTTTTCCCACCTAACTCCTGCTCCATAGCAAAGAGATCTGCCTAGGAGAAGGTTAGAGCAAGCCTTACACCAAGCTCCTGCCAAGAGGCTGGGTATCAATGTGGAGCAAGTAATGTCTGAGAATATTGTTGAAAATAATAAACCCATGAGTTAGCAGTTGGAGAAGGCTAATATCTCAGTGGGATAACAATACAGTAAATCAACCATAAGCTTAATGGGAAGATCAAGAAAAGAGAGAGTCAAAGTCCAGCTAAAGCCAGACTCATCCCTGAAGGTCAGGAAAATTGTTTGCATGCCAAAGTGTGACCTTCTGAGGACCATATCAAGGTTGTACACTTCAGGAGAAAGATACTTCATTGAAGTAGCCCAGCCATGTCAACAAAGAAATAAACACCAGCAATAAGTAGCCTTGCAGAATTTTATATCCAAAGTTGACATAATATACTATCTAAAATATCCACTTTCAATAAAATATTATGAAACATGCACAGAAATATAAAAATCAGACCCATAATCAAAATTGAAATAAGGCAATAATATCTGCCTTTGAGGGTACACAGATGTTAGTCTTCTCAGACAAAGCTTCAAAGAAAATGCTATAAATAAGTTTAAAAAACAAAGGGAAATAATGTACTTTAAAAAATTGAAGAACAGTATGGTAACAATGTCTTGTTGAATAATATCAAGAAAAAGAGACCTTATTTTTTAAAGAATCAGAAGGAAATTCTTGAGTTAGAAGGTACAATAATGAAAATGACATTGACTAGTAGGGCTTAACAGTAGGCCTGAACTGACAAAGGAAAGAATTAGTAAATTTCAAGGTAAATCAATAGAGATTATGCAAACTGAAGAACAGAGAGAAAACAATTAAACTAATTAACAGCTCAGACAAATATGGGACCTCATTAAGCACAACAATATACTTGCAGTGGGAGTACCAAAAGGAAAGATTTTAAAAAGCATTAAAAGTGTTCAAATAATAACTGAAAATTTCCAAACTTGATGAAAAACATTAAAATATTTTTTTAAACTTAAAAAAATCCACCTGGAATAAACACAGGATCCATACCTAGAAGTATCATAGTCAACATGTTGAAACTCACAGATAAAACAAAACCTTGAAAGCAGCAAAAAAAAAAAAAAACAAAAAAAACAAAAAAAAAAAAAAAAAAAACCTCATCATATACAAGTGAACCGCAATAAGATTAATAGGTGGCTTTTCATAAAAAAAATGGCTGCCAGAAGTCAGGGGGATGACATTACAGAAGAATGAAAGGCAATAAAAGAAAAACATCTGTCATCCAAGAATCTTATATCCAGCAAAACTATCTTACAAAAATATAGAAACAAAACTATCAAATAATTTGTGGCTAAAAGACTCTTCTCACAGGAGGTACTAAAGGAAGCTTTTCATGCTAAAACCAAGGAACATCATACAGTAATTTGAATCGACATTAAAAAAAAGAGTGTTGATGTTGGCAGTTACACAGGCAATGTTAAAATAAAATATAAATGTATATTCATTTTTCTCTCTTAACATATGTAAAAAGCAATTTTATAAAATGTGATAATTGTATTGTGAGACCAATATAGAAATGTAATATATTTGACAGTAACGGAACAAAAGCAGAAGGTAGGAAAAACTATTTTCCTACTTGACGTTAAATGGTAACTTCGATCTATAGGAATAAAGAGAACCAGATAGTGTAAATAAGAAAAATTATGTAAGAAGCCTTGTAAATATATACTTGTTCTTCTCTCTTATCTTAGCTTCCTTAAAAATATATAAAAACATATTCAATAGTAAATATAACAATATATTGTCAGGTTTCATATATATATGCACATACATATATGACATGTTTATAGCAATGAATTCACAAAATGGGCAGAAAACAATAGAGCTATATAGTGGTAAAGATTCTATATTCCATTTAATTTAGTATAGATTTGAAGTTAATTCTGAGAAGGTAAGATGCATAATGTAAGCCCTAGAGCAACTATTTATAAATAACTAAGAAGCTCTTGTTAAAATATTACAGGAATGAAAATGTTATACTAGAAAGTATTCATTTAATGAAAATGAAAACAGAAAAGAAAAAAAACAAGAAAAGGACATGAGAAATGTAGAAGAAATAAAACAAAATGACAAATGCCAATCAAGTCATATTAATAATAACATCAAAGATAAACAGATTGAACAGTTCAATGTAAAGGCAGATTATCATACTGGATTTTTTTAAAACGATTCATATATATAATATATGTGGAAGACACATTATAGATTCAAATTATAAATAGATTTTAAAAATTATGGGAAAAAACATAACATACTAATTGGAATCATAAGAGAACTGGAGTGTCTGTACTAACATAAAATAGACTTTAAAATGAAAACAATTTCCCTATATAAGAACATTTTAGAATTATAAAAGTTTTGTCTATGAGCAAGAAATAATTATAAGATTGTGTGTACCTAAGAATAGAACTGGAAAATACATGAAACAAAAATGGCAGAAGTGAAAGCAGAAATAAGAAAATTCAATAATAGTAGTTGGAAACTTCAATATCCCACTATTGATAATAGATACAACAACTAGGCAGAATATCAACAAGGATAAAAAATAGTATAAATGAACTTGACCCAATAGACCTTAATAAAACACTATGCCCATGAATAACAGAATACACAGTCTTCTAAAAACTACATGAAATATTTGCATGATAGACAGTATACTATATCACAATGTAAACCTTCATGAATTTAAAATAATTGAAATCATATAAAATATGTTCTCTAACCACAATGGAATTAGATTAGAATAGCACAAGGAAAATTTTAGAAACTCACAAATATGTGTAAATTAAAAACCACGTGCCCAAATAACCAATAGGTCAGAGAAAATATCTCAAAGGAAATTAGAAAAAAAAACAACTTTGAGGGGAACAGAAATGAAAACACAACATAACTCAACTTATGGAATTCAACTAAAGCAATGCTGAAATAATTTTTATGCCTACAAATACCTTTATTAACAAGAGAAAAATCTCAAATCAGTAACCAAATGTTCCAATATAAGATACAGGAAAAACAACAGTAAACTGAATCCAAAGCAATCATATGAAAGAACATAATAGAGAAAGGAGTAGACACAGATGAAGTGTAGAATAGAGAGAGCAAAATCAGCAAGCCAAAGTTTGTTCTTTGGAAATATCAACAAAATTGGCAAATCTTTTGGTAGGCTGACAAAAACAGAAGACTATCAAAATCACAAAAAGAGAGGACATAACTATCAATCTCATAAAAGCAAAAACAAAACTTATTAGGGAATATTATGAAGAAACATATGTAAACTAACATGACATATAAAATGGATAAATACTTTAAAACAACACGAACAACTGGAGTTGACTCAAAAAGAGAAAGAAAATTTGAATTGACCAATAACAATGGAAAAGATGGAATTAATAACTAGATAACCTACATATAAAGTAAAGCCCAGGCCCAGATGACTTCACTGATCATTTCTATCAGACATTTAGAGAATGATTAATTCCAATCCTTTAGAAAGTCTTCCAAAATACAGAAGTGGGAATACTTCCCAACTTACTCTATAATGCTAGCTTTATTCTGATACCAAAAGCAAACAAGAACATCACTAAAGAAAAAGTTATAGGTCATATGCCTTACGAATATAGATTCAAATATTCTAAACAACTAAATACTACAAAACTAATCCAATGTATAGAAAAGAAAGCAAAGACATATAGACATGCTTTAATGTGTGTGTATGTGTATGCATATATGTATATTTATATCCATATATTACATGTTTTATATATACATACACACATATATACATATACAAGGAGGATTTATCCCAGATTTCAGGAATGCAAGTATGGTTAAAAATTCAATAGTCAATCAATGTAATACACCATATCAATAGAATAGAGGACAAAAAATGACGTGAGTGGACATCACTCCTAAAACATTTATTTAACATTGTACTAAACATCCTAGCAAGGGTGATTTGGCAAGAAAACAATAAAAAGCATCAAGTTTGAAAAAGAAGAAGTAAAACTCTATTTGCAGAAGACATTATATTATATATAGAAAATCCTAAAGAATCCACTAAAAACCTGTTAGAACTAATAAATAACTTCTTCAAAGTTATAGGTTACAAGATCAATGTATAAAAATAAATTTTATTTCTAAGCACTAGCAGTAAAAAAAGTGAAAATGAGATTAAAAATGGTTTGGTTTACATTATCCTCAAAAATGATGAAATATTTAGGAATAAATTTAACCATAATAGTATAAGATTTGTACAGTAAATATTACAAGACATTGCTGAAAGAAACTATGGAAGATCTAAATCAAGAGTGTCCAATCTTTTGGCTTCCCTGAGCCACATTGGAGGAAGAAGAATTGTCTTGGGTCACACATAATATACACTAACACTAATGATAACTGATGAGCTAAAAAAAAGAAATAGGAAAAACAATCTCATAATGTTTTAAGAAAGTTTAGGTGCTTGTGTTGGGTCACATTCAAAGCCATCCTGGGCTGCATGTGACCCTGGGCCAAGGGTTGGGCAAGCTTGATCTAAATTAAAAAAAGACATACCATCTTCTTGAATTGGCAGACTTGATATTATTAGAATGGCAATATTTGCCAAAATGGTACACAACAATTGATCTACAGCAATCAATGCAACCCCTATCAAAAATGCTAACCTCAATTTTTTGCAAAAATTGAACTGTTCATCCTAAAATTAATGTGGAATCACATGGGATCCAAAGTAGTTAAACTAATCTTTTAAAAAGAAAAACAAGTTGAAGGACTCATAGATTCCAATTTAACATCTTATTACAATGCTATTATAATCAAGGGAGAGTGGCAGTGGTGTACATGTAGGCATATATGCCACTGGAATTGAATTGAGAGTCCAGAAATAAGTCCTCACATTTTGGCCAATGGAACTTGATAAGGGAACAAGACAATTAAAGTAGAAATGAACTTTGTTTTAATTAATGCTGCTGGGACAATTGTATATTCACAGGCAAATTAGTGAATTTGCATACTTGCCTCACCTCATATGCAAAAATTAACTCTAAAAGAATCAGGGACTGAAATATAAGAACTAAAACTATAAAACTCTTGGCCGGGCACGGTGGCTCATGCCTGTAATCCCAGCAGTTTGGCATGCCGAGGCGGGCGGATCATGTCAAGAGATGGAGACCATCCTAGCCAACATGGTGAAACTCTGTCTCTACTAAAAAAAAAAAAAAAAAAAAAAAAAAATTAGCTGGGCGTGGTGGCGCGCTCCTGCAGTCCCAGCTACTTGGGAGGCTGAAGCAGGAGAATTGCTTGAACCTGGGAGGCAGAGGTGGCAGTGAGCTGAGATCGCGCCACTGCACTCTACAGCCTGACGACAGAGCGAGACTCCGTCTAAAAAAAAAGAAAGAAAGAAAAAACTTTTAAGAGAAAATAAGTGTAAATGTCCATGACCTTGTTTTAGAGAATGACACCAAAAGCAAAACAGAAGAGAGAATAGCTTAATTAATCTTCATCAAATTTTAAAACTTCTATGTTTAAAAAAAATCACAATGAAGAAAGTCAAATGACAACCCACCGAATGGGAAAAATGCAAATTATATATCAGATAGAGGATTTGTATCTAGACCCTGTAAAAAATTTTACAACTCTATATTAAAAGAACAAATAATTAAAAATGACAACATATATGAATAGATATTTCTCTAAAACAGGTATACAAATGGCCAGTAAGTGCATGAAATGATCTGTAACATCATTTTTAAGTAGAGAATTCATTGGAAACCATTAAATGCAACTTCATACCCCCTTGGATGGCTATGATGAAAAAGACATGTAAGGACAAGTGTTGGTGAAAATGAAGAGAAATCTGAACACGTATACATTGTTTGTGGAAACATAAAATAGTTCATCTGCTTTGGAAAACAGTTTGGCAGTTCCCCAAAATGTTAAAGGTACCATTCCACTCCAAGTGATACAGCAAAAATAATTAAAAACAAGTGTTTAAACCTAAACTTACACAGACATTCATGGCAAAATATTCACAGTAGCCAAATAATGGAAACAATCCAGATGTCAATCAACTGATGAAGGAGTAAACAAAATTTGGTATATTCATACATTGGAATATTATTCAGCCATCAAAATAAATGTAGTATTGATACATGCTACAACATAAATGAACGTTGAAAATGTTGAGTAACAGAAGTAAATCACAAAAGACCTCATATAGTGTTATTCCTTTTCTAGGAAATGTCCACAATATGTAAATTTATAGAGATAGAAAGTAGATTAGTGGTTTTCTGAAGCTTAGCATGGAGGGAGGAATGGGGAGTGATTGCTAGTGTGTATAAGATTTCTTAGGGAGTGATGAGTGTATTCTCAAATTAGATTGTAGTGATTGTGGCAGGATTCTGTGAATATAATACAAATACATTATATACTCTAAATAGGGGTTTATAAATTATATCTCATTTTTAAATGGAATAACAGAAGAAATGCCATATAAGATGATGTAACTGGGTCATTTGCCTCTAATATTGGATTCTTCATGGCTGTCATATTCTGGCTGCTCATGTATGAGCTGTGCCTGTGTTCCCTGTGGGTGCTGACTGCTTTTGGCCCAAATTCTTTTTTTATTTCTGATTCAGTGGTTCTCAACACCTAGCTTAGCAGATCTATGTGTGGTCCCTCGTAGGTAATGAGGTGCCTTGCTGCTTCCAGGAAAGACCTGGGCTTTTGAGTGCCAAAAAGAGATAGATGGGTATCAGATTATAAGTGAATTGTGAAACTGGATTAGACTCTGAAACCTGGCAGGCTTCTCTTCTTCCACTCCCATTTCTAGTCCATTTGCAAACATTAAGGGATCTGAGGTGGTTGGAAAATCCATTTAGCAATTTGAAACTAATAAAATAAGAGAAATTTTTTTTAAAAAAAGAACTGTTGCTGGGACAGGAAACATATGAAGGCTAGACTAAGCTGGATGTCCAAGATTATTTACTTACATGGCTGATAGTTAGTTGGTGCCATTTGTCAGCTGGAAACTCAGCTGTGATTGTCAGATGGAACACCTATACATAACCTCTGTTTTTAGTTTGAGTTTCTCACCACTCGGAGGCACATCTACCTTGCTTATCTCCTCTCAGTGATGTGTACATACTCCTTTACCATTTGTATGGTTCAATTGATCTGAGTCTCTAACTGTTTCTTTCTCTCATCACTCTCCCATCCCAAATTACTCCCATAACCACACAAAAAACTCAAGGACAAAAAAAGCAAATATTTTCTTAATTCCCACTGTGACTATTGCCCCATCTTTCTCCTGATGTGGCTCCTCTTCAAAATATATATCATGATAGCTAGGCATGGTGGCACAAACCTGTAGACCTAGCTACTCAGGAGGCTGTGATGGGAGAATCATTTCAGCCCAGGAGTTTGAGGCTGCAGTGAGCTATGATTGCACCACTACACTCCAGCCTGTGGAATGGAGCAAGACTCTGTCTCATAAATAAAGAAGTTAATTAAATAAGTAAATGAATTAAAAAATATAAAATATTCTATGTTTTTATCAAAGCATGGAATGACACTTAATAAAGTTTCTGGAGTCTGACCACTTATGCTTTTATGATCTAATAAACACTGACACCACCACTAACCAACACCGTGTGACTTTAGGCAGTAACAACTTCTATATGATTTAATTTATTCGTCTGTGAAATGGAGGTAACAAATAATACGTAACTCATTGCTTTTCTGTGAGTATTAAATTAGATTACACATGTAAAATGCTTAAAATATTTTCTGAAACAATGTGCACAATAAATTATACTTACTTATTTTTAGTTTATAGTATTAAATCATGCTAAAAAGCGTTTATTTTTATTGTTATAAATGCTTGGCTTTTTCTTCCCTTTAACCGCCCCCACCCCACATTTTACTCCCTAGAGGCAATCACTGATGTTTTCATTAACTCTTTATACAGATAGTTACCTCTACATTCTTAAAAGAAGAAAGTATGATAGCTTGGGTTCATTATTTTTCACATTGTTCATTGATTTCCTATAATCGTAGATGAGAATTTCAGCTCTTTCACACATCATCATCTGTCTCTCTATCATCGCTATTTAATCACATGGCATTAAAGAAAAAGAAACATATTCAACCTGGAAGAGGTGGAGCAAGATGGCCAAAAGGAACCCTCCAGTAATTGTTCCCCCTGCTGGAACACAAGATTAAACAACCACCCACACAAGAAAGCACCTTCATAAAACCCCAAAACCAAGTGAGTAATCAGAGTACCTAGTTTTAACATTACATCAAGGAAAGAGGCACTGAAAAGAGTAAAAGAAAAAGTCTTAAATTGCCAACACCACCCTTCCCCCAGCCCCTGACACTGGCCACTAAGAGAGGAGAGAGAATCTGTGTGCTTAGGGGAAAGAGAGCACAATGATTGTGGGACTTTTCATTATAACCCAGTGCTGCCCTGTCACAGAGAAAAGTTACACAGAATTGAATTCTGCAGGTGCCCAGGGAGCATGGGTAGAATTCAATTCTGTCATAGCTGTAAGGGAATCCTCTATCCTAGTGGTTGGAGCTTGAATTACAGCTAGCCACACCACCATGGGCTGAAGCATGCTGGGGTCCTAAATAAACTTGAAAGGTAATCTAGGGTACAAGGACTACAATTCCTAGCCCAGTTCTCTTGCTGTGCTGGGCTCAGAGCCAGTGGACTTGGGGTGCATGTGACCTAGTGAGACACAAGCTGGGGAGACCAAGGGAGTGCTTGTGTCACCCCTCCCCCAACCTTCGGCAATGCAGCTCACAGCTTCAGGAGAGACTCCTTCCTTCCACTCAAGACTAGAAGAAGGAAGAGTGAAGGGGGCTTTGGCACATTTTCTTAATCCAGTCTATCATTGTTGGACATTTGGGTTGGTTCCAAGTCTTTGCTATTGTGAATAGTGCCGCAATAAACATACGTGTGCATGTGTCTTTATAGCAGCATGATTTATAGTCCTTTGGGTATATACCCAGTAATGGGATGGCTGGGTCAAATGGTATTTCTAGTTCTAAATCCCTGAGGAATCGCCACACTGTCTTCCACAGTGGTTGAACTAGTTTACAGTCCCACCACGTTGTGCACATGTACCCTAGAACTTAAAGTATAATGAAAAAAAATATTTAAAAAAAGAAAAAAAAAGAAAAATAAATAAATAGGAATTCCCTAAACTTATTTGGGATTAAAAATGAGCAAGAAGTTAAATAAAATGTGAGTTCATTACAAAAAAAAAAGAAAAAGAGGGCTTTGTCTTGTACCTTGGATACCAGCTCAGCCACAGTAGAATGTGGCACCAGCCAGAGTCCTGAGGCCCACATTCCAGGCCCTAGCTCTTAGACAACAATTCTAGACATATCAAGGATCAGAAATTAACCACCTTCCTTGAATAGAAGGACCAAGTCCTGATAGGATTTATCACCTTCAATTAAGGATCCCTTGTGCCATAAATAAGCATCAGCAGTACCCAGGTTGTACTTGCTACAGACCTTGGGTCAGATGCAGGCCTGTGCTGGTTTCATGTGTGACCCAGCACATTCCAGCTCTGGTGGCCATGGGGAAAAACTCCTTCTGCTTGAGGAAAGGAGAGGAAAGAATAAAGAGGATTTTGTTTTACTGCCTGGGCACCAGCTCAGCCACACAGTGAAGTAGAGCATCACGTGGGTTTCTGAGGTCCCTGATTCCAGGCCTTGGCTTCTGGATGGCATATATTGACAGTGGGCCAGAGGGGAGGCAACTGTCCTGAAGGAAGAGACCAAGGCCTGGCAGCATACACCACAAGGTGACTGAAGAGCCTTTGGGCCTTTAGTGAACATCACTGGTAACCAGGCAGTATTCACCACAGGCCTGGGGCAGTTTGGCCACTGGGAGAGATTCCTGCATCAGGAAGGAAGAGAGAATAGTGGGAATGACTTTGTCTTGTGGCTTGAGTACCAGTTCAGCTATAGTAGAATAGAGAACCAAGGAGATACCTAAGGTTCCCAACTCCAAGCCTAGGCTCCCAGATAGCACTGATCTACTCTGGGGTCAGTGAGGATCTGACCTCCCTGAAGGAGAGGACACCAGCCTGGCTGGATTTGCCACCTGCTGACAAAAGAGCCCCTGGGCCTTGAGTGAACACCAGCGGTAGACAGGCAGCTGTCACCATGGCCCTTGGATGAAACAGTGCTATGCTGGCTTCAGGTCTGACCCATGCAGTCCCAGTGGTGGTGGTCACAGGGGTGCTATGTCACCACCCCCACCCCAGCCCCAGACAGCACAAAGAGATACTCCATTTGTTTTGGAAAAAGTAATGGAAGAGAAAAAGTTTATCTGCTTGACATTCCAGAGAATTATCCTGGATCTCAGTCAAGACCACCAAGGTGGTACCTCTACAAGTCTGCAAGAGTCATAGCATCACTGGGCTTGAGGTGCCCCCTAATAAGATATGACTGCGGTGACCAAAGACTTAGATAAAAACACTGAATTTCCTTTGAGTACATGGAAAGCCATCCAAGAAGGATGGGTACAAATAAACCCCTGTTGTGAAGTCAACAACAAATATCTAATTTGTCAATGACCAGATGTCTACAAATATCCACAAGCATCAAGACAATCCAGGAAAGCACGGCCTCACCAAATGAAGTAAATAAGGAACCAGAGACCAATCCTGTAGAGACAGAGGTATGTCACCTTTCAGGCAGAAAATTGAAAATAGCTATTTTGAGGAAGCTCAATGAAATTGAAGATAACACAAGAGGCCAGGCATGGTGGTTCATGCCTGTAATCCCAGCACTTTGGGACGCCAAGGCAGGAGGATCACTTGAGGTCAGGAGTTCAAGACCAGCCTGGCCAACTTGGTGAAATCCCATCTCTACTAAAAGTACAAAAAAAAAAAGCCGGGTGTGGTGGTGCATGCCTGTAATCCCAGTTACTCAGGAGGCTGAGATAGGAGAATCACTTGAACCCAGGAGGCAGAGGTTGCAGTGAGCTGAGATTGCACCACTGCACTCCAGCCTGGGCAACAGAGCAAGATTCCATCTAAAAACAAACAAACAAAAACCCATACATTTGATAGGAAATTCAGAATTCTATCAGATAAATTTAACAAAGAAATTGAAATATTTTTTAAAAAATTAAGCAGAAATTCTGGAGCTGAAACTTTAACATACTGAAGACTCCATTAGAGTATCTCAACAGCAGAGTAGATCAAGCAGACAAAAGAATTAGTGAGTTGGGAAACAGGCTATTTCAAAATACACAGTGAGAGCAGACAAAGGAAAAAAGAATTAATGAAGCACACCTACAATATCTAGAAAATAGCCTCGAAAGTGCAAATCTAAGAGTCATTGGCCTTAAGGAGGAGGTAGAGAAAGAGATAGGGGTAGAAAGTTTATATAAAAGGATATCAGAGAACTTTCAAACCTGGAGAAAGATATCAACATTCAAGTATAAGAAAGTTATAGAACACCAAGCAGATTTAACCCAAAAGAAGATTACCTCAAGGCATTTAATATTCAAACTCCCAAAAGTCAAAGATAAAGAAAGTGTCCTAAAAGTAGCAAGAAAAAAGAAATAACATAAAATAGAGCTCTAGTACATCTGGCAGCAGACTTGTCAGTGGAAACCTTACAGGCCAGAAGAGAGTGGCATGACATATTTAAAGTGCTAAAGGAAAAACAAAATCCTAGAATAGTATATTCAGTGAAAATAGACTTCACACGTGAAGTAGAAATAAAGACTTTCTCAGAAAAACAAAAGCTGAGGGATTTTATCAACACCAGTCTTGTCCTACAAGAAAGGCTAAAGGGAGTCTTTCAATCTAAAAGAAAAGAATGTTAACAAACAATAAGAAATATTACCAGTGAGTACAAAACTCAGTGGTAATAATAACTACAGAGACAAACATAGAATATTATAATACTGCAACTGTGTCATATGAACTCGTATCGTGAGAATAAATACTAAAAGATGAAACTATCAAAAATAATAACTATACAACTTTTCCAGACATCGTGCAATAAGATATAAATAGAAAACAAAAAGTTTAAAAGTATGAAGGACCAGTGGGTCGATGAACAAAGTAAGTACAAAATTTAAAATTTCCTTGAAACAAATGAAAATGGAAACACAGCATGCAAAAACCTATGGGATACAACAAAAGCACTACTAAGGTGGTTTATATAAATGTTTGCCTACATAAGAGAAGTAGAAAAACTTCAAAGAAACTAATGATGCACCTAAAAGTACTAGAAAAGCAAGAGCAAAACAAACTCAAAATTAATAGAATAAAAGAAATAAAGATCAGAGCAGAAATTAATAAATTTGAAAGAAAAAATATAAAAGATCAACAAAACACATTGTTTTTTTAAAGTAAACAAAAGATTTAACCTGAGAAAAATAGAAGAGACCCAAATAAATAAAATCAGAGATGAAAAAGGAGACATTAAAACTGAAACCACAGGAATTCAAAGGGTCATTTGAGACTACTATGAGCGACCATATGCCAATACATTAGAAAACCTAGAAGAAACAGGTAAATTCCTAGACTCATACAACCTACAAAGATCGATCCATGAAGTAATCCAAAACCTGAATAGACAATAACAAGTAATGAGATTGAAGTCATAAGAAGTATCCCAGCAAAAACAAGCAAAGGACCCAATATCTTCAATGCTAAATTTTAGCAAACATTTAAAGAAGAACTAATACCAACCCTACACAAAATATTCAGAAAAACAGAGGAGGAGGGGATATTTTCAAACTCATTCTCTGAGGCCAGTATTACCCTGATACCAAAACCAGACAAAAACATATCAAAAAACAGAAAACTGCAGGCCAATATTCCTGATGAATATTGATGCAAAATAGCATTGTCTTTTATATTTTTCTCTTTTGTTTATTTGGCATCTGTAATTACATCTTCTTTTAAATCAGAAATCATTTTTATTGTTTGCCAATTAGTGATCAATATTCCCCACAAAATCAACTAAGCAGTCTTTTTGTCAATTTATTTTTTGTATCACTTTTATAATACATCAACTCACCTTAAATACGTGGGTCTGTCTTTAAGCTTTTTAAAAAATTTATATTTAAAATATTTACATATTCATGAGATGTTGCAAAATACCACAGAGGGTCCTTTATATATTTTGCCCAGATTCCCCTCTGAGCTTACTTGTTTCGTTAGCCTTTTACCTATTCCCTTACCTGTATCTTAGTGTGCATTCTTTAAGTTAAATAATGGGCTCTGCACAAATTCTGTTGCTTTTGTAAATAGCACTCAATTTGCTCTTATGTTTTACGTTTGGTTTTACTAGCATGGAATAAAATTATTAATTGGTTTGGTTAGATTAAATATTTAGTAGCTTCACTGTGCTCTCTTATTAGTTCTAATGCCTTGTCTGTTCTTTCTTTCTTTTTTTAATGTAGATCATCATAACATGTACCAAACTCAGATTTCTACCGTCTAATTCTTAGGTTTCATGTTTCCCCTTTTTGTTGTCCTATAGTAATGGTCAGGTATACAAATACTTTGTTAAACGATAACGATGATATAAATCATGCTTGCCTTGTTTCTGATTTAAAAAGAATATATCTCAAGTTTGTCCATTAAATGCTTGCTGTAGGTTTTTGGTACATAATTATTTCTGAAATTCGTATTCTCCTTGATTCAAATTACTGTAATAATTATATTAAGACAGCTTTGATATTTCTCCTTTTCTGATGTACTCCTGATAAAAGCAAATCACTCTACTTGAAAATATGTCTCTTAAATGTAATCATCAGATTTGTATAACTTATTTCTATGTTAATAGGTAAAGTAAGCCTACAATTTTATTTTACTATCCTTAAAAGTACCTTGAAGTCAAGGTTGTATACTAGCCAAATGAAATGAATCGTCAGTTTTCCTTGTGTTAAATTACAACTTCATTCCCTTTTTTAAAAAATTTGTTTTAGGTTAAGGGGGTACATGTGCAGGTTTCTTACATGGGTAAATTTCATGTCTCTGGAGTTTGATACATGAATGATCCTGTCACTCAGGTATTGAGCATACTACCTGATCGTACTTAAACCCTTTCCCCCCTCTAATTCTCCCCCCAAGTAGTCTCAAATGTCTATTGTTTTCATCTATGTGTCCTTGTACCCTCATTATTTGTTATTTTTTTAAAATTTTATTTTAGATTCGAGGGTACATGTACAGGTATATTACATGGCTATATTGTGTGATGCTGAGGTTTGGGGATGAATGATCCCATCACCCAGGTACCAGGTATAGTACCTGATAGGCTTTCAATCCTTGCCCCCATCCCATCCTCCCATCTCTAGTAGTCTCCAATGTTTGTTGTTCACATCTTTGTGTCTGTGTGTACTCAGCATTAACTTTCCACTTATAAGTGAGAACAGGCAGTATTTGGTTTTCTGTTCCTCATTAATTCACATAGGATGATGGCCTTCAGCTGCATCCATGATGCTGCAAAGAACATGATTTCATTCTCTATAGCTGCATTGTATTCCACGATGTATATGTACCAATTTTTCTTCTGTGAAAGCAAGCCTGTAATATTTTATTTAGTATTTAGATATTAATCTGTGTATTTGTGTTTTTGAAACAAAATTATTATGATTTTTTGTTTACCATTTTTTTTTCTTTTATCTTAGGTTCCAGGGGTACATGTACAGGTTTGTTACTTGGGTGAATTGCATGTAACTGAGGCTTGGTGTATGAATGATACTATCATCCAGGTAGTGAGCATAGTACCTGTAAGCTAGCCTTCCAACCCATGCCCGCCTCTAATCTTTCTGCTGGAACAGTCCCAGTGTGTATTGTTCTCATTTTTCTGTCCATGTGTATTTAATGTTTATCCCCCACTTGTAAGTAAAAACATTCAGTATTTAGTTTTCTGTTCCTACATTAATTCACTTAGAATAACAATCTCCAGCTGTATCTATGTTGCTGCAAAGGTCATCATTTAATTCTTTATAATGGCTGCATAGTACTCTATGATGTATATGTACCACATTTTCTTTATCCAGTGTACCATTGATGGGCATGTAGGTTGATCCATGTTGCTACTGTTGTGAACAGTGCTATCATGAACATACATGTGCATGTGTCTTTATGATAGAATGATTTATATTCCTCTGGGTATATACCCAGTAATGGGATTGCTGGGTGAATGATAATTCTGTTTTAAGTTCTTTGAGAAATGTCCAAACTGCTTTCCACAGTGACTCAACTAATTTGCTGATATGGTTTGGGTATTTTGTCCCCTCCAAATCTCATGTTGAAATGTGAACTCCAATATTGGAAGTGGGTCTGGTGGGAGGTGGTTGGGTCATGAGGGCAGATGCCTCATTAATGGTTTCTTGCCCTTTCCACGGTAATGAGTGAGTTCTTGTTCTGATAGTTGAGATCTGGTTGCTTAAAAGAGCCTGGAACATTCCCATCTCTGTCTTGCTCCCTCTCACACCATGTGGCACACCTGCTTCCCTTTTCTTTCCACCATGATTGTAAGCTTCACAAGGACCACACCAGAAGCACATGCAGCACTTTGCTTAATGTACAGCCTACAGAACCGTGAGCCAAATAAACCTCTTTTCTTTATAAATTAATGAATCTCCTGTATTCCTTTACAGTAATGCTAATGGATTAACACAGAAAATTTGTACCAATCAGTAGGGCATTGCTATAAAGATAACTGAAAATGTGGAAGTGTCTTTTTAAGTGGGTAATAAACAGAGGTTGGAAGAATTTGGAGGGCTCAGAAGAATGCAGGAAGATGAGGCAAGTTTGAAACTTCTTACAGACTTGTTAAGTAGTTCTCACCAAAATGTTGATAGAAGGCCAGGCTTCCATTTCCTCAGATGGAAATAGGGAAATTATTGGAAACTGGAGTAAATTTTACCTGTGTTACACCCTAGCAAATAACTTGGCTGCATTGTGTCCATGTCCTAGGGATCTATGGAAAGTTGAACTTAAGAATGATGAACTAGAGTATCTAGTCAAAGTAACTTCTAAGCAGCAAAGCACTTAAGATGTGGAATAGCTGCTTCTAAAACCCTATCAGATACGGGAACAAAGAAATGACTTAAATTTGGAACTTACAATTAAAAGAGAAGCAGAAAATTCACAGCCTGGTTATCTTTTTTTTTTTTTTTTTTTTTTTTTTTTTTTTAGAGCGTTTTCAGAAGAATGCAAGCAGGATGCAGAGCAACCACTTGCTAGTGAGATTTGTGTGACTAAAAGGGAGCCAAGTGCTAATATCTAAAACAATGGAGAAAAGGTAGGGGGCAGAGCAGGTTTGCTTCCTTGTGGAGCCTCAGGAAACTGTTTCCCACATTCAGCCCACTCTAGCTCCAACCGTGGCTCAAAGGGCCCCAGGTACAGCTCAGGCTACCACTTTGTAGGGCACAAGCTGTAAACCTTGGCAGTTTCCATGTGGTGTGAAGTCTGCAGGCACACAGATTGCCAGAGTGAAGGACACTTGGCAACTTCCTCCCAGATTTTACAGGCTGTATCAGGAAGCCTGGGTGCCCAGGCAGAAGCCTGCCATAGTGGCAGAGCTCCCACAGAGAGACTATAGTAGGGCAGTGCAAGGGGAAATGTGGAGTCGATGCCCACACTTAGAGTCCCCACTGGGGAACTCCCTAGTGGAGCTCTGGGAAGTGGCTGCCTTCTCTGGATTACCAGGCGGAAACTCTTGTTCACTTCCCTTACTTCCTTCCAAACAAACAGTGTCTCTCCATTCTGAGCTATCTGGAGCAGGAGGGGTAGAGTGACACAAGTACCCCTCTAGCCACCACCACAAGGACTGCTCTGGGTCAGACTGGAGGCCAGCACAGCCCTGGGTCTCACCCAAGGCCTTCTGCAACCACTCCCTGGCTACCACCTATGTTCTCTCAAGGCCCTTGGGCTCTACAATCAGCAGATGGCAAAGACAGCCAGGCCTATGTCATTCCCATAAGAGCAGTGAGTTCCATCAGGCCCCAGGTGGATCCAGAGGTGCTGTCCAGGAGCCAAGGGCTAGAGTCGAAAACCTACTAACTCTATCCGGTGTTCTATTGTACTGTGGCTGAACTGGCATTCAAACCACAAGATGCGGTCCTTTTCACTCTTTCCTCTCCTTTCCAAAGGCAGAGGAGCCTCACACCATGGACACTGCCACTAGAGGCCCACAGGGAGTACTGCCAGACTACTGCCAATGTTTTCTTCAGGCTCTGCAGTCAGTTTGTGGTGAATATTGCCTGGCCTGGGACACACCTTTCAGGGCAATGACCTCCCCTCTGTCTCAGGGCAGGTCCAGAAATGCCGTCCAAGAGCCAAGTTCTAGAATTGGGGAATCCAAGAGCCTGCTTGGTTCTCTATACCCCTGTGGCCAACCTGGTACGTAAGGTACAAGAAAAGGTCTTTACTTTTTCCTCTGCTTTTCTCAAGCAGAAGGTGTCACTCTCTGTATCCACCACAGCTTAGAATGTGCTGAGTCTCACCTGAAGCCAGCAAATCTGAGTCTCACACAAGGCCCTTAACATAGTGCATGGGTATCACAGCAGGTTATTCTGGACCCAAGGGCTATTCAGTTAACAGGTGACAAATTCTGCCAGGACTGGATCCTCAAGGCAGCAGAATTCCTTCTGGCCCAGGGTGTGTCCAGAAATGTCATCTGGGAGCTAGGTCCTGAAATAGAGGCTTTACAACTCTGACTGGTGCCCTATCCTCCTGTGGCTGAGCTGGTATCCATGATGCAAGACAAGGTCATCCCCACTCTTCCGTCTCTTCTCCTCAAGCAGAAAGAAGAGGTCTCCTTTGAAGCCGTGGGCTATCACGCCAGCACTCTCTAGCCACACCAGCTGGTGTCTTAGTAAGTTGTGTGCCACTCCCCTACCCAAGTCCACAGGCTCTGGGTCAAGTTCACCACTAGGACTCACCTAGGAGTTGCAGTCCTTGTGCCCTGGGCTGCCTTTCAAGTTTATTTAGGACCCCAGAGTTCATTATCACACAGTGGTGAGGCTTGTGAGAACTCAAGTTCTGACTGCTGGGATCAGCACTTCACCTCTGGCTATGGCTGTTTTAAATACTCCCTCTGTGGGTGGGTGTCAGCTGAGTGTAGACCAGTTTTTCTTTCTGCCATAACAGGGCAACACTGAGTTCAATGCCCCAGAATTGCTGCACTCTCCCTCTATCCATCACACAAAAATGCCGTGTGCACCATGCTGCCAATGCCGGGGGAAGGGGAAAAAGGGTGGTGTCAACAATTCAAGACTGCTTTTTCTACCCTTCAGTGCCTTTCTCAGAGATGTGAAGTTATAATCAGGTACTGTACGTGCTCACCTGATTTTTGGTTCTTATGAAGGTGCTTTTCTTTTATGTAGATAGTTGTTAAATTGGCATCCTTTTTGGGGAGATCAGCATGGAGCCTTCCATTCTGCCATGACGCTCTGCCCTTTTTTTGCAAGTTGAATTGTTGAGGTCTTTGTAGATTTTGGATGTCATACTTTTGTCAGATACACGGTTTGTGACTATTTTGTCTAATTTTCTACGTTGTCTGTTTATTCTGTTGATTGTTTTGCTGTGCAGAAGCTCTTTAGTTTAATTAGATCTCCCTTGTAAATTTCTGCTTTTGTTGCAGTTGCTTTTGAAGACTTGGTCATAAATTCTTTCCTAAGGCTGATGTCCAAAATGGTGTTTCCTTGGTTTTCTTTTAGGATTATTATACTTTTAGTTCTTACATTGAAGTCTTTAACGCATCTTGAGTCAATTTTTGTATATGATGCAAGGAAGGGGGTCCAGATACGATCTTCTGCATATGGCTAGCGAGTTACCCCAGCATCATTTGTTGAACAGGAAGTCCTTTCTCTATTGCTTATTATTGTTGACTTTGTCAAAGATCAAATGGTTGTAGGTATGCGGCTTTATTTTTGGGTTCCCTAAACTGTTCCATTGGTCTATGCTTCTGGTTTTGTACATGTATTATGCTGTTTTGTTTACTGTAGCCTTGTAGTAGGGTATGAAGTTGGGTAACATGATGTCTCCAACTTTGTTCTTTTTGCTTGGGATTGCTGTGGTTATTTGGGCTCTTTTTTTGATTCTACATGAACTTTAGAATAGTGTTTCATAATTCTGTGGAAATGACATTAGTAGTTTGATAGAGCATTGATTCTGTGAATTGCTTTGGGAAGTATGGCCATTTTAACCATATTGATTATTGTTATCCTTGTGTGGAATGTTTTTCCATTTGTATGTATCAACTCTGATTTCCTTTAACAGTATTTTGTAATTCTCCTTGCAGATATCTTTCACTTTCTTGATGAGCTGTATTCCTAGGTATTTTATTCTTTTTGTGGCTATTGTAAATAGGATTGCTCTCTTGATTTGGCCCCCAGCTTATACATTATTGGTGTACAGAAATGCTACTGATTTCTGTTCATTGATTCTGCATCCTGAAACTTTACAGAAGTTATCAGTTCTAGTAGTTTTCGTGGAATATTCAGGGTTTTCCAGGTTTAGAATCATATCATCTGTGAAGAGAGATAATTCTAATTCCTCTCTTTCTATTTGGATTCGCTTTTTTTCTCTTGCCTGATTGTTCTGGCTAAGACTTCCAACACTGTATTGAATAGGAGTGGTGAGAGTGGGCATCCTTGTCTTGTTCTGGTTCTCAAGGGGTATTCCTCCAGCATTTGCCGATTTAGTATAATGGCTGTGGGTTTGCCATAGGTGGATCTTATTATTTTGAGATATGTTCCTTTGATGACATAAAGTGATACCAAATTTTATCGAAGGTATTTTCTATATCTATTGAGATAATCATATTGTTTTGGATTTTACTTCTGTTTTTATGGTGAACCACATTTATTGATTTGTGTGTGTTGGTCCAATCTTGCATTCCAAGAGTGAAGCCTTCTTGACTGTGGTGAATTAATTTTTTGTTGTGCTTCTGGATTTGGTTTGCCCGTATTTTGTTAGGGATTTTTGTGTCTATGTTCATCAGATATTGGACTGAAGATTTATCTTTCCAATGTGTCTCTGCCATTCCTCTTACTTTTTGAAATGCCATATTTCTTGTTTAATTTTTGCTTATATCCTGCTGTACATTGTACAGACTAAATATCTCATACCAGTAGAAGCATAATAACCTAGTGTATTGTTCAAATACTTACATCTGAATTATAAAGAAATTATCTACACACATATTTATATTTTCCTAACAATTTTATTATTCTACTTTCACATCTGTCCCCAAGTAAAACAAGTATTTTATCACACTCACAGATATTTATGTTCTCTACCCTCAATCATCTCACATGCAGTCTATTAATTGAGGCCCATGTAAGGGTCAAAACGTGAATTGATATTGATGATTTAAATGGGCACATAATGATTGTACATATTTTGGGGATACATAGTGACATTTTAACACATACAATGTATAGTGATCAGATCAGGATAATTTGCATATTCATGATTATTCCAAACATTTATTTTTTTTTGTGTTGGGAATGTTTACTGTCCTCTCTCTTAGCTATTTGAAAATACACATTAATATTTACTATAGTTATCCTATGGTGCTATGAAACTCTAGAACTTACTGCTTTTTTCTAGCAGAAATTTTATTTCCTTTACCAGTGCTCTCTCTATTCCTCTCTTCTCCCTTCCCTTCCAAGCTTCTAGTAACCTCTATTCCACTTTTACTTATATAAGATAAACTTTTTTTAAAAACTTCTGTGTATGAGTGAAAACATGCAGTGTTTTACTTTCTGTTCCTGGCTTATTCACTTGATGTAGGTCAGTTCCATTCACGTTGCTGCAAATGACAGGATGTCATTCCTTTTATGCATAAATAGTTCTCCATTGAGTATATATACCATATTTTTTTTTATCCACCTATCTGTTTTTGGACAGCTGGGTTTATTTCATATCTTGTCTATTGCGATTAGTGCTGCAATAAACATGGAGGTGCAGATATCACTTTTATGTACTGATTTCCTCTCCTTTGGATACATGCCTAGTAGTGGGATTGCTGGATCATATGGTAGTTCTATTTTAGTTTTCTGAGGAACCTCTGTACTGTTTTCCTTAGAGGCTATACTACTTTGCATTCCCAACAACACTACATAAGAGCTCCGTTTTCTCTGCATCCTTGTCAGCATTTGTTGTTTTTGGTCTTTTTGATACTAGCTATCCTAACTGGGGTGAGAAAATATTTCATTGTGGTTTTGATTTGCATTTCTGTGATGACTAGCAATGTTAAATATTTTTCCATATACTTGTTGGCCATTTGTATGTCTTCATTTGAGGGAATATTGACTTTTAATTTTTATGTTTAAGTTATTGGGGATAGAGTGGATCATTTTAAAAGTGAAGCAATATAAACACATTTGTATTTTGAAAAGTCAACCTCATGGGTATGTTATAGATTCATGTGATAAGTAGAAAAGCCAAAGCAGGGACATTTAGTATTTGATTTTTTTTTTTAACATTCAAGGCTATATAATGGTGGAAGACTCAACTAAAACAGGTACATATGCTGTAGAAAAGAGGATGGTGTGGAAAAAAGATTTGGAAGTGTTAGAGATGGTTGCAGTGTTGAATAATATGGTAATACTAGAAAGCCAGTTTAAAATTATTTCTAATTTTTTACTGTCTTTTTCTTTTGTGCACATTTTCAGTGTCTTTATTTCTGGCACTGACACAAATGTTTTCTTTTTTTTTTTTTTTTGACTTTTAGTTTAGGTTCAATGGTACATGTGAAGGTTTGTTATATAGGTAAACTTGTGTCATGGGGGTTTGTTGTACAGATATTTCATCACCCAGGTATGAAACTCAGTACCCAATAGTTTTCTTTTATGCTCTACTCCCTCCTCCCACCCTCCACCCTCAACTAGAACCCAGTGTCTGTTGTTCCCTTCTTTGTGTTCATGAGTCCTCATCATTTAGCTTCCACTTATACATGAAAAATTTGTGATATTTGGTTTTCTGTTCCTGCCCGATTTTACTAAAGATAATAGCCTCCAGCTCCGTTTATGTTCCCACAAAAGACATGATCTACTTCCTTTCATGGCTGCATAATATTCCATGGTGTATATGTACCAGATTTTCTTTATTCAGTCTATCATTGATGGCATCTAGGTTGATTTCATGTCTTTGCTATTGTGAATAGTGCTGCAATGAACATTCGCATGCATGTGTCTTTATGGTAGAATGATTTATATTCCTCTGGCTATATACCCAGTAATGGGATTGCTTGGTTGAATGGTAGTTCTGCTTTTAGCCCTTTGAGGAATCACCATACTGTTTTTCATAATGGCCGAGGTAATTTAGACTCCCACCAACAGTGTATAACTGCTCCCTTTTCTCTGCAACCTCACCACCATCTGTTATTTTCTGACTTTTTAATAATGACCATTCTGACTGGAATGAGATAGTGCCACTCTGTGCTTTTTAATGGATCATTTATCCCATTTACATTCAAAATTCGTGTCAATATGTGTGGATTTGATCCCGTAATTGTGTTGTTAGCTGGTTATTATTCTGGCTTGTTGGTGTGGTTGCTTTATAGTGTAACTGGTCTGTGTATTTAAGAGTGTTTTTGTATTAGTTGGTAGCAATCTTTTTTTTCCTATATTTAGTGCTTCTTTTAAAGTCTCTTTGTAAAGCAGGTTTGGTGGTAATGAATTCCCTCATCATTACCTTATCTGAAAAGTATATTATTTCTTTTTTGCTTAGGAAGCTTAGATTGTCTGGATGTGAAATTCTTGGTAGAAGATATTTTTTCTTTAAGAATGTTGAATATAGGCCCCCAATCTTTTCTGGCTTTTAGGGTTTCAGCTGAGACATCTGTTTTTTGGCTGATGGGGTTCCCTTTGTAAGTGACCTGCCCTTTCTCTCCAGCTCCTTTAATATTCTTTCATTTCAACCGTGGAAAATCTGATGATTATCTGTCTCGGGGTTGATTTTATCGTGTAGAATCTTGCAGGGGTTCTCTATATTTCCTGAGTTTGACTCTTAGCCTCTCTAAGAAGGTTGGAAAAATTTTCATGGAAAATATCCTGAAATATATTTTCCAAGTTGTTTGCTCACCCTTTCAGGGATGTCAATGATTCATACATTTGGCCTCTTCACATAATCCCCTACTTCTCAGAGGTTTTCTTCTTTTCTTTTTTAAATTTTTTCTTACTGTCTTATTTCAGAGAGCCAGTCTTCCAAGTTCTGAGATCCTTTTCTCAGCATGGTTTATTCTGCTGTTAAATCTTGTAATTGCATTGTGAAATTCTTGTTTTGTGTGATTCAGCTCTGTCAGATCCATCGGGATCTTTTTTATACCTGCTATTGTGTACTTCAGCTCTTTTATTATTTTATTCTGATTCTTAGTTTCCTTGGTTTGGGTTTTGCCATTCTCCTGAATCTCAGTGATCTTCATTTCTATCCATATTCTGAATTCCATTTCTATCATTTCAGCCAATTTAGCCTGATTAAGAACTCTTGTTGGAGAGCTCATGCAGCTGTTTGGAAGACATACGACACTCTAGCCATCTGAGTTACCGGAGTTCTTGGGTTGATTCTCTCTGATCTCTGCATGTGGGTGTTCCTTTTACTGTAGTATAGATTGAATGCAGTCAATAGACTTGTTTTCTGGATGTTTTCACCAGGCCAAGCCTTTGTGAATGGTCTTTATTTGAAGCTGACTTCTTGTCTTTGGTTTCAGAGGGGGTATGTTAGCAAGGTATTTTGAGGGCTGAAGCTTTGGACACTTAGACATATTGCTCAGTTGGTAGACTCTTGCTCAGTTGGGTGGCTTCCCTGTGTTTCCTCACAGTTACAGCTGTGTTCCCTCTCAATGCTCTGAGAGTGTGGGTTCCTCTCCCCTTTGAGTGCTGGCTGTAGATCTTAGCGTGGCACCCCTGTGCTGCCCATTGCAACTCTGGGATGATCTCAGTGTTCACGTTCCTACCCCAACCTGGAGGCAGAGAAGAAGGGAACTTGTGCCGAAGGGTCTTTTGCTTATCTGCTGGAGGCTCCACCCCAGAGAGATGTAGGTCAGCAATCTGTACAATCAGCCCAGGATGAAGTGTCTGTGCTGTGGGCCCAAGCTGAGGCTTTTCTGTCTCATTATGAGCAGTGGGGAGTATCTGGGACCTATGGGAGACAGACTGACCTCCTCTCTGTTGCCTGCATCTTGCTGGAGATTTGTTTAAGGCACTTAGGGTCTTTGCTCCTTCATTAGTCTGAGAGTAGCAAGGGCAGTTCCACTGTAGAGGCAGTGGCAGAGAGGCTTTCAGTTGCCCCTGGGGGCTGTGTCCAGGAAGTTGCAGAGCTGCTCCTGGCTTAATAGCTCTGGCAGGGGGTTGCTGGAGGCCAAGGCCTGGAGGACCTGCATGGTGAGGAGATATGGGAATGGGCACTCACGTAACAATCTGGCCAGTTTTCCGTAGGGGTGCTGTGGTACGCTGCAGGCTCACTCCAGTCCCTAGTCACCTCGGATTTTCCAGTACCTGGAGGTATCAACTGTGAAGGCTACAAAACAGCAAAGATGGCAGCCTACCCCTCCCTCTGAGAGCTTCATCCCAGGGAGATACGGACATGTTGCTGCCTGAAAGCACTTGTAGGAAGTGGCTAGAGACCCGATCTGGGAGGTCCCACACAGTGAGGAGGAATGAGATGGGGGCCAGCTTTAAAAAACAGTCTAGCCACATTTTCATAGAGAAGCTGTGCTGTACTGTGGTTCTACTTCAGCCCCTGGTCGCCTTGGACATTCCAAAGCCCAAAGGCCAGAACAGCTAATTCACCCAAATAGCAAAGATGGTGGCCTGCTCCACCCTCTGGGATCTCTGCCGCAGGGATGTTTGAAATCTCTGTCAGCTGGAGAGCACTGGTGGGGGTGGCTGGAGACCCTGTTTGGGAAGTCTTGCCCAGTAAGGAAGAATGGGATCAGAGACCCACTTAAAAAAGCAGGGAGGCCTGCTCCACCCTCTGGCATCTCTGAGGCCGGGATGTTTGAAATCTGTCAGCTAGAGAGCACTGGTGAGGGTGACTGGAGACCCTGTTTGGGAGGTCTTGCCCGGTAAGGAAGAATGGGATCAGAGACCCACTTGGAAAAGCAGTTTGGCCACATTTTGGTAGAGCAGCTATGCTGTTCTGAGGGACCATTTCTGTCCCTGGTCATCTTGGACTCTCCAAAACCCAAAGGCTGGAATGGCTAAGTCACCAAAATAGCAAAGATGACAGCCTGCCACTCCCCTTGGGAGCTCTGTCTTAGGGAGGTGCACTGCTGCTACCACTGGCTGGCTGGAATTCCAAGCCAGTGGGTCTTATCAGGTGCTGTGGAAATGGGACCTGCCAACTGTTGCCACTCAGCCCCTGGATTCAGCCCCTTTCCTAGAGTTATGTACAGGGATCTAACCTCCCTTTTTGTTGGAGTTGCAGCTACCTTTGCCAGGAAGCCTGGAAAGCCTGGATAGCTAAGGCTCCTGGGTCTTTGCATGTGCCTGAGTGGCTGCTCTGCCAAGGTTGCACATAGCTCTGTGTGTCTGCCTGACTGCCCTGCTGGAGTGGGTTTATGAGGGGATCTCCTGATCCAAGGGTTGCAAAGATCCATGGAAGAAGCATGATTTCCTGGAGTCACTCATTCACTCACCACATCCCTGGGTTGGAGAGGTTCCCCTGGCTCCATGTTGTGCCTGGGTGGGCTGTCATCCTGCCTTGCTTTTCTCTGTTCTCCATGAGTCGAGAACAGAGATTTGATTCTCCAGTTAGTTCCAATGCATGTATCTGAATGTTTCAGTTGAAGGTTATATACTCATCCCATCCATTCTCTGAGAGCTGCACACACTAGCTACTTCTAGTCGGCCATCCTGGCCACCTCCCCCGCCCCCCAGATACTGCCTTTTCCTCTCTCTCCCTTCTTCCTTTTCTCCCTCGACACATTCCCTTCCACAAATGCACACTCCTACACACACACTCACACACACACAGTCTTGACATTTTTCACCCGGAATTGGCAAGATGACAAATCCATCTTGCCCTGTGTTTCAGTAAGTATGTTAAGGAAATAGACCTCATTATAAACATAAGGTGATAGGAAGGTATCTTAGAACATATTCAAATACAAGAATTAATTATTTCCTGGGTGATATGTTTCTCAGCATGGCCTTATAATCTTATAACCTGCTTATGTCAAATACTAAAGTAGCTGCATGTGCAACCTATCAAAACATTCCACATTACCTGAACTCCAGTTAATTTTTCCGATTGAGTACCGACCATGGCTACTGTCCTCTGTGAGTTCCCAGCTGAAGATCTGTGGCAGCCAGTAAGAAACTGGATAAATAAACAGTGAAGCTAGAAACTTGACCTTTGTATGCTATAAATAGAGCATGGACATCTTATTCATTTCCTGGCTCCTCTTAGAGGATTTATGCAAGGCCTGTGATTATTGCAGCCATGATAGATCAGGTGCATTTCAAGAAGGCCTATGACTGTCAGCTCAGTGCTGGATATAGCTGATAGGGAACTTATGCGTTATTTTAGAAAGTATCCTTTTGCTTAAAACTATTCCTCTGATTTTTGTTGAAAATTTTGATTTCACTCAGTGTATGATAGTGAAAGTTAATTCACATAAATAAGAAGAAATTAGTCCCAATATAAATTCTCAAACATATTTCTTTTTCAATTGACCAGGAGAGAAGGATCTTTATGCCTTTGAATAGAGATGTTTTTATGGACCCCTTACCCCAAAAATGATGGCTGAAGGAAATAATACAAAGTTATTTCCATATTGGAACACATTTTTAAATGATAATGTAGTTCACTGTGACACAAAATAAGGAAGAAGCTATTAAGAGAATAATTCATCTGGGGATTTTCTGAGTTTTGAATACCTGATGGGAAATTGGCTGGAGCTAATAGTACGGGTTAGAAGTATAATTCAGGGATTTCTCCAAAAATAACAGTACTTAAAGCAATAAGTGTGGATGGGGAGAGATCTTTGAGTGAGGAAAAGACAAGACCAAGGAAAAAAAAGACTTGAGAGATACATTTAAGAAAAGCAGCAGAAGAAAAGTCCATAAATGTAACCAAGAAGAAATGACCAGAAGGAAAATAGGGAAGTAAAGAAAGCAAAAGGAAGACAGAATTTTAAGAAGAAAATGACCACTGTGTTATTCAGTTTGGTTGCTGTAAAAAATTACCATAGATTCAGTGACTTAAATGCAAACACTTATTTATCGCTGGACATCCAAGGTGAGAGTGCTAGAAATCCAAGATTACAATGCCAGCATGGTCAAGTTTGAGTGATGGCTCTCATCCGTGTTGCAGACTGCCAACTTCTTCTATCTTCACATGGTGATGGGAAAAAGAAAGAGGGCTCTGGGGGCAGGGGAGGGTCTGTTTTATAAGAGAACTAATCTCATTCATGTGGGTTCTATCCTCATGACCTAATCACCTCTCAAAGGTCCCACGACCTAATACCATCAGCTTAGCAATTAGGATTTCAACATCTAAATTTTGGGGAACACAAATATTCAGTCCAGTAACACCAACTAAAGAGAAAATGCTAAAACATCATTATAGAACATGAAAAGAAAAAGAGTATATTGTATTTTCTAAGGAAGAGATTTTTGTTAAAATTCATATGTTTAATATGTAGAATCAGGATCAGAAGACATTGTAATGAATTAGAAAACTATTGTCTAGGAAAGTTTGGCTATGACGAAAAGGACTGAAAGAAGGCTTTAAAAGTTTGCACAACAGAAAAGGCACATTATCTTAGGATGTAAGATATAGGGGCACCTTTAAAGTCTTAATGATAGAGACAAATTTACCCTGAAACTAAGGAATCAAGCTTAAACGTTGAAAACTGGAAGAGTTCCTAGCAAAATGTTTTTGTGCTCATATAATTTTGTAAAAGACACAAAAACAATACATCATGACACCCTGTTAAGACAACTATCTCTTTCTATCATGAATCCTCCGGCACACATACCTACTTCCAATTATATTGGAGGACTATGCACATGTTGAAGATATAGCTAACGAGTAGTAGATCTGGGTGTATGTCATTTTATCTGCAATTTGAAAGAGTTTTATTTTGAAAAGTCTTAATAAAACAAGGATAAACAATAGGTTCCTGATTTGAAATACATGAATTTTATCTTCTCTTGTTTTATCCATCTTTAAAACAAAACATGTTAGAGAAAAATCAAACAATTGTCGAATGCAAGATGAAATGAAAATAATAAAGGTCAATGGGATTAATAGAAATAATTATGACATCAAGAAATAATGAAACAAGACAATATAACAAAGTAATTAAAATTTAGATCATAAATCAAAATAGTAATAACAGGAAGAGATAAAGTTCTATTAGAAGTAATGAACAGGCTCTTGTATTTGTCTGATGAGTCAATTAATGAAGAGGAGTGAGTTATATGAACTGTATTGAAATGTAATTAAATTTCTTGCCAGTTTAATTAGGAATGTTGACATCAACAAAGATAACATAGAACATTATGCCACCGAAATGAGTTATTGACAGCAAATTGGCTAATGAGCATCATTATTTGCAATAATATTTAGGATTACCTTTGGAAGAAGAAAACTTAAAGTACACTGAATTCTTACAATTCATATAAAAGAGGTTCCTCAAATTAAAAAAAAAACCTAAACATTAAATAACACTATCAGTATGAGTTGTAAACCTGACAAAACCTGTTTATACCATTTATTAACAAAACACACTATGCTAATAGAAAGAATTAGTCCTCATTATCTCTAGACAGAATAACAATCTCTGTCATATTAAAAGAGGATCAGAAATATGCAGCCAAAATTGTAGGGAGAACGGTGTTTTGAGCAGTCATTAATAAAAATGTTTTTTGGGACTGTTTTTTGAAGGTATATGTCAGTTTTTTCAAATTTGTTGTGATCACCTTTCACAGTATAAAGAAACATTCTCCATGTAATTTTGTATTCAAAATTTTATATTTCTTTTTTTAAAAAGAACAAACTGTATAAATTTTAGGCCATACAAACCAGACATCTTCCCCTGAGAGTTAATAAAGACAGACAAGTGAGAGAGTATTAAAGTCAGTCAGGATTACTTGGATGTACTGCGTATAGCTACATACCAAGACTGAGAGAGGTTATGTAATAGGAGAGCCAAGAGAAGTGACAAACGTTTCTTCAAATGTTGACAGCTTTTAGCTACTGAAGAAACAAAGGGTCTTTTGTAGGTTTAGGGAACATGTAGAAAGTGAGGACAGGAAAGACTGTTAATGGGCAAAAGTCTCTTCACCCAAACAATAAATCGTGACTGTGACCATAATATTGGCTATAATTTACTGAACAATTACACATTTTTAATTCTGTATTTCTGAGACACATATATATCAGCAGGTGGCCAATACACAAAATAATCTGTAATTCTCACAGCAAGCTGATACATTAGCTGAGAATATTCCTATTTTGTGGTTGACAATATTCCTATTCTGTGAAGATATGAAAATTAGTTGGATTGTCTAAGGTCTGACAGATAGAAAATGGCAAGATTCTGCAGTGTGCATTCTTTCCTCTGCACCACACTACCTCCCCAATTAAGTTTAAGCACATTATGAAAAATATCTTCAAAAATATATACACCTTCAAGGACTCCTGTTTAATTTCGACTACTTGTGGCATTGTCTTTATTTTTTTCTCTTCGTTTTGTTTATTCTTCAGATGATTTTCACTATGTTTTGTTTCAGGAATATTATTACCTTCTACTTTCCATTTGTAATACAAAAAATGCTACTACAATAGGAGGGGAAAACAGAATGGTAAAAGTAAAAATTAGTAATTTGTGATCACCCTATATCAACCGATTTTCATTCCTATCATGTAGCATTTTTTCTTATACTTTAAGTTTTAGGGTACATGTGCACAACGTGCAGGTTTGTTACGTATGTATACATGTGCCATGTTGGTGTGCTGCACCCATTAACTCGTCATTTAACATTAGGTATATCTCCTGATGCTATCCCTCCCCCCTCCCCCCACCCCACAACAGTCCACAGTGTGTGATGTTCCTCTTCCTGTGTCTATGTGTTTTCATTGTTCAATTCCCACCTATGAGTGAGAACATGCGGTGTTTGGTTTTTTGTCCTTGCGATAGTTTGCTGAGAATGATGGTTTCCAGCTTCATCCATGTTCCTACAAAGGACATGAACTCATCATATTTTATGGCTGCATAGTATTCCATGGTGCATATGTGCCACATTTTCTTAATCCAGTCTATCATTGTTGGACATTTGGGTTGGTTCCAAGTCTTTGCTATTGTGAATAGTGCCTCAATAAACATACATGTGCATGTGTTTTTATAGCAGTATGATTTATAATCCTTTGGATATATACCCAGTAATGGGATGGCTGGGTCAAATGGTATTTCTAGTTCTAGATCCCTGAGGAATTGCCACACTGACTTCCACAATGGTTGAACTAGTTTACAGTCCCACCAACAGTGTAAAAGTGTTCCTATTTCTCCACATCCTCTCCAGCACCTGTTGTTTCCTGACTTTTGAATGATCGCCATTCTAACTGGTGTGAGATGGTATCTCATTGTGGTTTTGATTTGCATTTCTCTGATGGCCAGTGATGATTAGCATGTTTTCATGTGTCTATTGGCTGTATAAATGTCTTCTTTTGAGAAGTGTCTGTTCATGTCCTTCCCCCACTTGTTGATGGGGTTGTTTGTTTTTTTCTTGTAAATTTGTTTGAGTTCATTGTAGATTCTGGATATTAACCCTTTGTCAGATGAGTAGATTGCAAAAATTTTCTCCCATTCTGTAGGTTGCCTGTTCACTCTGATGGTAGTTTCTTTTGCTGTGCAGAAGCTCTTTAGTTTAATTAGATCCCATTTGTCAATTTTGTCTTTTGTTGCTATTGCTTTTGGTGTTTTAGACATGAAGTACTTGCCCATGCCTATGTCCTGAATGGTATTGCCTAGGTTTTCTTCTAGGGTTTTTATGGTTTTAGGTCTAACGTTTAAGTCTTTAATCCATCTTGAATTAATTTTTTGTATAAGGTGTAAGGAAGGGATCCATTTTCAGCTTTCTACATATGGCTAGCCAGTTTACCCAGCACCATTTATTAAATAGGGAATCCTTTCCCCATTGCTTGTTTTTGTCAGGTTTGTCAAAGATCAGATAGTTGTAGATATGCGGCGTTATTTCTGAGGGCTCTGTTCTGTTCCATTGATCTATATCTCTGTTTTGGTACCAGTACCATGCTGTTTTGGTTACTGTAGCCTTGTAGTATAGTTTGAAGTCAGGTAGCATGATGCCACCAGCTTTGTTCTTTTGGCTTAGGATTGACTTGGCAATGCAGGCTCTTTTGCAAATCAATAAACATAATCCAGCATATAAACAGAAAACGACAAAAACCACATGATTACATCAATAGATATAGAAAAGGCCTTTGACAAAATTCAACAACTCTTCATGCTATAAACTCTCAGTAAATTAGGTATGGATGGGAAATATCTCAAAATAATAGGAGCTATCTATGACAAACCCACAGCCAATATCATACTGAATGGGCAAAAACTGGGAGCATTCCCTTTGAAAACTGGCACAAGACAGGGATGCCCTCTCTCACCACTCCTATTCAACATAGTGTTGGAAGTTCTGGCCAGGGCAATCAGGCAGGAGAAGGAAATAAAGGATATTCCATTAGGAAAAAAGGAAGTCAAATTGTCCCTGTTTGCAGATGACATGACTGTATATTTAGAAAACCCCATCGTCTCAGCCCAAAATCTCCTTAAGCTGATAGGCAACTTCAGCAAAGTCTCAGGATACAAAATCAATGTGCAAAAATCACAAGCATTCTTATACACCAATAACAGACAAACAGAGAGGCAAATCATGAGTGAACTCCATTCACAATTGGTACAAAGAGAATAAAATACCTGGGATTCCAACTTACAAGGGATGTGAAGGACCTCTTCAAGGAGAACTACAAACCACTGCTCAATGAAATAAAAGAGGATACAAACAAATGGAAGAACATTCCATGCTCATGGGTAGGAAGAATCAATATTGTGAAAATGGCCATACTGCCCAAGGTAATTTACAGATTCAATGCCATCCCCATCAAGCTACCAATGACTTTCTTCACAGAATTGGAAAAAACTACTTTAAAGTTCATATCGTATAGCATTTTTAAGGGAAGTGCAGTATTTTAGTTTTAGATTTTATTTGAAAAATAACACGATTCTGTAGTGAGCATCTGATCCTTGCCAGTCATTTAAACAGGAAGAAAAGGTGGCTGACGACACTGTCATAACTCTAAGACTCTCTCAAGAGAAAGGAGAAGGAGTCACTCTTTTTTAAAAATTTTTTATTTTGGGGAGCAACTCATGTTAAACCTTCTTAGGCATCTGCAAGAACACACACTTGTTTTAGGTGAAGTTGTGATACTTAACATTATTTATTATTGTAGTCAATGACTATCACTTTAATTGTGTTTCCACACATCTAATTTTTTAAGTGCTGAGTTTCATCTGTTTGCCATCATCACTGAAGTGTCAGTGAACTAGAAAGAATACTTGTTTGGGATTTATGAGGAAATGGCTAAAATGAACTTCCCAGAGAAAGATCTGTTACTGTAGAAGTTGAATTTTTTTATACTAACCAAAGTCTTAGGGTAGAAGAAGATGTGACAGGCACGCATGACAGGCACATGCTACCACTTATTTTAGTAGTAAGGCTATTACTGGGCTTTATTTCCTATTATTTTTTAAATATTTTTATTGTGTTAAGCATATGAGATCTACTCACTTTACAAATTTTTATACACACAGTACAGTCTTGTTAACTATAAACACAATATTGCACAGCTGATTTCTATAACATTTTTATTTTGCTTGACTGAAACTTTATACCCTTTGAAAAGCAACTCCTGATTTCCCCTCCCCTGGCCCATAGCAACCACAATTCTACTTTCTCCTTCATTGAGTTTGACTATTTTAGGTACTTCATATAAATGGAATCATGCAGTATTTGCATTTCTGTGTCTGGCTTATTTCACTTAGCATAATTTCCTCAAAATTCATGAATGTTGTAGCATATGACAAGATTTTCTTCCTGTTATGGCTGGATAATATTCCATTGTATGTATATACCATGTGTTCTTTATCCGTTTATTGGTCCATAGACATTTAAGTTATTTCCACCTCTTGACTACTATGAATAATGCTGCAATGAACATGGAAGTGCAGGGATCACTTCAAGATCCCAATTTAAATTCTTTTGGAACACTGCCCATATGTGCCATTGCTGGACCACATTATAGTTCTCTTTTTATCTTTTTGGGGATATCCGTACTGTTTTTCTATAAGAGCTGTATCATTTTACATTCCCACCAACAGTGTGTAATGGCTGCAGTTTCTCCACATCTTTGCCAACAGTTGAATTTTGTTTTTGTTTTACAATGGCCATCCTAAAAGGTGTGAGATGATAGTTCATTGTGACTTTGACCTGTATTTCCTGGATGATTCCTGGTGTTGAGCACCCTTTCCTACACCTGGTGACCATTTTTATGTCTTCTTTGGAGAAGTGTCTACTCAAGTCCTTTGCCCACTTTTTAATCTTTTCTTTTCTTTTCTTTCTTTCTTTTTCTTTTTCTTCCTTTTTTTGCTATTGAGTTGAAAGAGTTGCCTATAAAATTTGCATATTAAGTCCTTATCAGATATATAGTTTGCAAATATTTTCTCCCATTCCAAAGACTGCCTTTCCTCTGTTGAGTGTTTCCTTTGCTGGGCAGAAGCTTTTTAATTTGATGTAGTCCTATTTGTCTATTTTTGGTTTTATTGCCTGTGATTTTGATATCACATGCAAGAAATCATTGCCAAGACCAATGGCTTGACACCTTCCCCCTAGGTTTCTACTAGGAGTTCTACAATTTCAGGTCTTATGTTTAATTCTTTAATCCATTTTGATTTAATATTTGTGTACAATGCAACACCATAGTTCAAAATCGTTAGTTTGCATGTGAATATCCACAATTCCTGTCACTGTTTATTCTTATGTGGAAAGGGATTATTCTTTCCACATTCTGTAGTCTTGGCACTCTTGTCAAACGTGAGTTGAACGTATACCTGTGGGCTGTCTATTATGTTCCATTGATCTATGGGTCTATCTTTACATCATTACCATATTGTTTTGATAACTGTAGTTTTATGATGTTTGGAACCATAAAATATGAGGCCTCTAATTTTGTTCTTCTTTTTCAAAATGTGTCTATTCAGGGTTCTTTGTGGTTTCATATGTCTTTTTTTTCCTATTTCTTTTTAAAATGCTATTCATTGTAATAAGGACTGCATTGAATTTGTACATTGTTTTGGGTAGTATGAACATTTTAATATTCAGTCTTCAAATCCATGAACACAGAATTTATTTCCATTTATTTGTGTCTTCTTCAATTTCTTTCGTCAGTGTTTTGTTGTTTTCAGTGTGCAAATCTTTCATCTCCCTGCTTAAATTTATTAAGTATTTTTTGTTTTTGATACTAATGTACATGAGGTCATTTTTCTCAATTTCCTTTTTTTGATTAGTCATCATTACTATATAGAAACACACCTGATGTTTAGGCCAGGCACGGTGGCTCACGCCTGTAATCCCAGCACTTTGGGATGCCGAGGCAGGTGGATCACCCGAGGTCAGGAGTTCGAGACTAGCCTGGCCAACATGGTGAAACCCCACTTTTACTAAAAATACAAAATTAACTGGGCATAGTGGTGCACACCTGTAGTCCCAGCTACTCGGGAGACTAAGGCAGGAGAATCGCTTGAACCTGGGAGGCGGAGGTTGCAGTGAGCCAAGATCGTGCCGTTACACTCCAGCCTGGGCAACAAGAGCGAAACTCCATCTAAAAAAAAAAACAAAAACCAAAAAACCAAACAAACAAAAACACAACTGATTTTTCAGTGTTGGTTTTGTTTCTATCAATTTTGCGGGATTTGTTCATTACTTCTGAGTTTTCTTGTGTGTAGAATCTTTAGCATTTTCTATATATAAGATCATGTCATCCAAGAACAGACAACTTTACTTGTTTTTTTTTTTTCTGATTTTGATGTCTTTTATTTCTTTCTCTTGCTTAATTGCTCTGTCTAGGATTTTCAGTCCTATGTTGAACAGAAGTGGTTAGAGTGGGTACCTTTGCCTTGTTCTTAAAGACAGAGGAAAAGCTTTCCGATTTTCACCTTTGTATATGATGTTACCTGTGGGTTTTTTCATATATGGCTTGTATTAGAGTAAGGTAATTTTCTCCTATTTCTAGTTTGCTGAGAGTGTTTTATCATGAAACAATGTTGAATTCTGTCAAATGCTTTTTCAACATATATTCAGATAATCATGTGATTTTTATTCTTTGTACTCTTTTTTTGTTGTTGAGGCAGAGTCTCACACTGTGCCCAGGTTGGAGTGCAGTGGCGCAATCTCTGCTCACTGCAGCCTCTGCCTCCCAGGTTCAAGCGATTCTCCTGCCTCAGCCTCCCGAGTAGCTGGAATTACAGGTGCCTGCCACATGCTTGGCTAACTTTTTTTTGTATTTGTAGTAGAGACAGGGTTTCACTATGTTGGCCAGGCTGGTCTTGAACCCTTGACCTCATGATCCACCCACCTCAGCCTCCCAAAGTGTTGGGATTATAGGCGTGAGCCACCGTGCCCAGCCTATTCCTTGTACTCTTAATGTGGTTTGTCATATTCATTGACTTTCATATGTTGACTCATCCTTGCATCCCACGTAAAATCCCGTGTAGTCATGATGTGTCGTCATTTTAATGTGATTAAATTCTGATTGCTAGTATTTTGATGAGGATTTTTTTGATGTATATTCATTAGGGATATTGGTCTGTAGTTTTCTTGTAGGGTCTTCATCTGGCTTTGGTATTAGGGAAGTTCTGGAGTCAACGACAAATTTGCAGTGTTTGCTTTTCTCCGATTTTTTGAAGAGTTTGAGAAGGATCGGCTTTAATTCTTAAATGTTTGGTAGAATTCAGGAGTGAAGCCATCTTGTCCTGGGATTTTCTTTATTGGAAATTTTAGGATTTCTGATTCAATCTTCTTACTAACTTATCTGTTTACATTTTCCATTCCCTCATGATTCAGTCTGGTAGCTTGTATGTTCTATGAATTTATCTATTTCTTCCAAGTTATTCATTTATTGGTATATAATTGTTCACAATAGTCTCTTATGATTCTTTCATATTTCTGGGCAATGGTTGTAATGTTTCCTCTCTCATTTTGGATTTTGTGTCTTCTGCCTGTTTTTTTTTTTTAAGTCTAGCTCGAAGTTACTTTTATTAATATTTTAAGAAAAACAACTCTTGTGATAATTTAATTTTTTTCTGTCAGTTTTCTATTCTCCATTTTGTTTATTTCAGCTTTATTAAGTATTTTGTTCCTTATACTAATTTTTGGCTTAGGTTGATCTTCTTTTTATAATATTTGAGGTATAGAGTTAGATTGTTTATTTGAGATATTTTCTATTATTTTAATGTTGTCATTTATTGCTATGAAAGTCCCACTTAGTACTGCTTTTACTGCATCCCGTAGGTTTTGGTAGGTTGTATTTTTATTTTCATATGTCTCAACATATTTTCTAATTTCCCTTTTGATTTATGCTTTAATCCATTGGCTATTCAAAACTGTTATTTAATTTCCATATATGTGTGAATTTCCCAGTTTTCCTTCCTTCTGTTGATTTCTAATTTTATTCCATTTATTCGGAAAAAACTTGGTATGATTTCAATCTTCTTAAATTTGTTAAGTCTTTTTCTGTGGCCTAACTTAGGATCTATCCTGGAGAATGTTCCATGTGCTCTTCAGGAGAATGTATCCTGCTGCTGTTTGGTGAATGTTGTGTATATATTGTTAGGTCCATTTACTCCATAGTGTTGCTTATGTCCTATGTTTCCTTCTAGATCTTCTGCATGGTCGTTCTACCCTTTATTGAATGTGGGTTAATGAAATGTCTTACTATTGTAACTTATTTCTTTCTTCAGTTCTGTCAGTGTTTGCTTTATACATTTAAGTGCTCTGGTGTTGGGTGTGTGTATTTATATGTACGTGTGTGTGTATGTGTGGTACATGTATTTATATGTGTGTGTGCATAAATATATATAAATATAAAATTATTAATGTTATTTCTTCTTAGATAACTGACCTTTTATCATTATATAATGTCCTTCTTTGTCTCTTGTGACCATTTTTTAACTTAAAGTCTATTTCTTCTTATAAATGTATGGCCACTCCTGCTCTGTTTTCTTTACCATTTGCATGAAATATCTTTTCCATCCCTTCACTTTCAGCCTATATGTACTTAAATCTATTGTGAATCATTTGTATGCAGTGTCTTCTTCTTCTGTTGTTTTAATTCATTCAGCTGCTCTGTGTATTTTGATTGGTGAGTTTACGTCTTTTACATTTAAAGTAATTATTGATAAGGAAAGGCTTACTATTGCTGTTTAGTTGTTTTCTGTCTGTCTTGTGGCTCTTTTGTTCCTGCTTTCTTCTCTTGCTACATTCCCTTGTATTTGGGGGTATTTTGTGTTTTTTGTTTGTTTTTTTAGAGACAGGCTTTTATTTTCTTATTTTTCTTTGTGTATATTCTATAGGTATTTTCTTTATGATTACCACGAGGCTTACACATAATATTGTGTAGTTATAAACAACCTGTTTTAAGATGATGACAGTTTAACATCAAGCACATACAAGAACTCTGTTCTTCTACATACCCCACCCATTTTATGTTATCGTCACAAATATTCTTTTTTATTATGCATACATTAACGTATTTTATATTTATTGTTATTTTGTACCTTATCTTTGGACTTCAAAAATATCACATGTACCCCTTAAATAATTACAATGATTATGTATCCATGATAATTAAAACTATTTTTAAAAATTATTAAAATGTGATTTATTCCCCAACTTTACAGTATTAGAATATTCTCATTTGTGTGTATATTTACCTTTACCAGTGAGCTTTATACTTTCATCTTGCTGTTTAGCATTTGTTCATTTTAACTTACAGGATTCAATTTAGCGGTCTTTCAAGGCAGGTCTAGTGTTGGTGAACTAGCTCACCTTTTCTTTATTGGTCAAGTCTTTTTCTCTTCTTTATTTTTGAACAACAGTTATGCTGGATACCATTTCAATAGTTGGCAGTTTTTGTCATTCGCACTTTAATAAAACATCTCACTCTTTTCTGCCCTATACGATTTCTTTTGAGAAATCCACAAATTATCTTATGGGGTTCCCTTCTCCATTACTTTAGTGATGCTGCATTAAAAATTCTCTGTCTTTAAGTTTTGACAATGTGATTATAATGTACCTTGTTGTGGTCTTTTGGGTTTCATCCTATATGAAATTTATTGGACTTCTTGAATCTGATGTTTATTTTCTTCTCCAGATTTTGGCAGTTTTCAATCATATTTTCTTTATGTAAGCTTTCTTTCCCTTCTCTCTCTTTTCTCTTTCTGAGACACCCATAATTCATATTTTGGTGTGTTTAATGGTGTCCCATAAGCTCCTTAGGCTTTCTTCCCTATTTTTCCTTCTTCTTTTCTGTTTTTTTTTTCTCAAATGACCTGTCTTCAAGTTCTGACTGGATCATTTCAAATGACTTATCTACAAGTTTACTCATTGTTTCTATTCTACTTAATCAAGTCTTCTATTTAGCCCCTCTACTAATTTTTTCAGTTCAATTTTTGCATTTTTCAGCTGTAAAATTACTGATTTAAAAAATACCTTTTATCTCTTGGTTTAAATTTTATTTTGTTGATGAATCATTTTCTGGACTTCATTGAGCATCTTTATGACGATTATTCTGAGTTATTTGTTTGGTAATCTTATACCTCTGTCTCTTTAGGATCAATTTCTGTAGATTCATTTTGTTTCTTGGTTGAGCCGTTTTCCCTCTTTATATTCTTCACAACTTTGTGTTGTTATCCTTGCATTTGAAAAAAGCAAACACCTCTAACATTATTTACAAACTGGCTTTGTACAGGGAAAACCTTCACCAATCACCCAACTAGAAATTCTGGGGGCTTGTCAGACCTCTCCTGTGGATGTATCTTCTCTGCGCATGTAGATTCCTTTAGAGCAATTTGCAGAATTCGTATTTCAAGAGCTTGTAATCTCGTGCTCCCTCTGGTGTCTATTTGCTGTACTGCAGGTCCACTAAGGCAGCGGCACACCACCCAGCTCTTTTCAAGTCTCAGCAGCCCCTAGGCATTTAGAGTAGTCCAGGTCCTGTGTGCGTTCTAAGACAGGCAAGACAGAAATCAGCCTTTCCGGCAGCCTCCTGAAAAGCTACAGTGTTGTGCACATGCTCCAGTCTTCTCCTTCTTTCTAAGGAAAATGCTTCTGAGCTGTATCACCCTGTCAGCTGTACCAGTGTTCCTCTGGAGAAGCAACATATCACCAGTTTCTTTTCGGTTCTCAACAACCTCCAAGCATCTAGAATATGCTGGGTCGCTTCATTGCTCTAAGACCGATGAAACAGCCACCAGTCCCTTTGACAGACCCCTGAAAAGTCATAACATAAGAAGATAGTGTCAAGTTTTCTCTTTCCTTCCTCAAGGAGAATCTGGAGCTAGGAGTTTCTTTTTGACCATGTGGTACTATAATGAAGGGAGGGGCTATGATGACAGGGTGCCACATGTTTTGTTTCATGTTCTTCTGGGTTGCAGAAATCTCTTAACTAGTTTCTGGATTTCTTACACAGAAAATTGGTTTCATGTACTGTTGTTGAATTAGTGTCTCCATGGGAGAAATGAGGGTCTGGGCCTTCCTATTCCACCATATTGCTTACAAAACTCTATTTCCTATTAATTTTTTACTTGTATAATGTATACAAGTCTTACTCATTACAATTAATTTTGTTTTACTGGGGATGGGAATACATGGGTAATATCACTAATGAGCCTGTAAAAGGTATAAGTAAAATTTTAAAAATGATATGGAACATAATATAAGATATAATATATGCAACATTTAAAAATGTAATATAGAGAAGAGTACTCTTGAGCAAACCTGCCTTGATTCAACTATTGCCTTCATCTGAATTTGGTTAGAAGAACAGAACCTCTACAAAATCATAGGAATAAAAATTTATACAGGAGACAGAGCTCCTATTAGATACCAAGAAAAAATTGTCAGGAATTTTTCCACTCCTTGTATCTATGCCCTCCCATTCTGACTCTGAACTTGATCATCTGAGTTATTAAATTCAGCCTACATTTTGTTGAAGTTGAGTTTGTTCTTTGTTGTAATATTTAGTTGTTAGAATAGAGAACCAATTTTTCCAGCAACAACGCTGTGTTTTGCGATGGTGTCCACCAGCCCTTACCCTGACTCCACACAAGAAAACAATGTTAATTTTAAAGGTAAACCAGGTGGTACTTCAAGATCACAGGTAAATATATTCTAAAGTGAGTTTGTCCTAAGCTTCAGCTTCAGAATTTTTTTGGTAATGCTTTGATATAGTGTTTATTACAGATTATTTTATAATGTTAAGTAGCAAGATTTTTATGGATAGAACACTTTCAGAAGAGCTCTCCAAAATCCTAAAAAATCATCGTACCTGAGCACTATTCAGTAGTCCCCAAAAGTATATAAGAACCTCCCAGTTTTAGACAATATAGCTGTACTATATCAATTATGTTCATTAAAATTGGAGAAAGTGCTTTGATTCATTAATTTAAATCCTCATTTAACAGATAATACTATGCCTAACACACTCTGTTAGGCTCTATGTTGGTTATAGATATGAATCAGACAAAAAAATCTTTCAAGAATAGTTCAAGAGAGGAATGGAATATATATATATATATATATATATATATTTTTTTTTTTTTTTTTTTTTTTTTTTTTTTTTTGAGACGGAGTCTCGCCCTGTCACCCAGGCTGGAGTGCAGTGGGGCGATCTCTGCTCACTTCAAGCTCTGCCTCCCGGGTTCACACCATTCTCCTGCCTCAGCCTCCCGAGTAGCTGGGACTACAGGCGCCTGCCACCACGCCCGGCTTTTTTTTTTTTTTTGTATTTTTAATAAAGACGGGGTTTCACCGTGTTAGCCAGGATGGTCTTGATCTCCTGACCTTGTGATCTGTCCGCCTCAGCCTCCCAAAGTGCTGGGATTGCAGGCGTGAGCCACCGCACCCGGCCGGAATACATATATTAAGTACTCATGTGAGATAGAAAATATTATGACCTTTGCTTAAGGGTAATGAGAGGTCTCAGAAAAGAGACCACTTATAATTTGGAGATCTCAAATGATTCAATGGAGGAGGTGACATATGAGATGGACCTTTAATACTAGAGATACGTATTTTCAAAAATTGAGAGGAACAAAGGAATTTCTAAGCAGAGAAAAAGAGCATGAGCATGAGGTGAGTAAACCTGGGGTATGTATAGGAAATAGTAAATAATTCCATAAATCCATACATAAGGCTTATGAAAGGAAATATGGGAAGATGTGCTTTAGATTATAATCTGAAACTTCAAAGTCTTGGATTAAAATTTAAGATGCTATTGCCAATTGAGATCAGTTGACTGAGTGCTCTAGTGCTCCCCTAACAATAATTTGTTGAGTTGACCCCAGGAACTTTTGTAACCTATCTGGGTCTCAGTTTCATGTAAAATGAAGCAGATTGAATAAAGTCCCTTCCATATCTAAAAGCATGATTGTTACCTCTATTCCATAAATAGCTAGGAACTAATGAAGAACCCACGAAAACCAGGACCAGACCTGTGATTAAGGAAGTCATTTAGATGGTTTAGAATAATTTAGGAGTGCGTTGACACAGGGATCAGGGATTTCAGATAATGAGAAAAGAAACACTCTGTGTAAAGTGCAAAAAGTTTAGGAAAGAATAAAAGAGAGATGACTGGGTTAAAATAAATTGCAGAGATAGAAATGAGAGAACATTTCAATAGTAATTTAGTATGAAAAAGAGGAACCTGATAAATATCTCTTTTTAAAATGCCCCTATTTTAAATATCATGCTATAATATTTTAGTATTTATTAGTCTTCATAGTTAAAATTTTTAAAGAAACTTATGCACACGTGTATGTGTGTGTGTGTTTGTGTATGTGTGAAGCATGATGAAGGTAAATTGCTTCTTTCAAACGAAGAGATGGTGTTTTAAAATTATTATTGATTAAAGAGGCATTGGACATAGCTGTGTTGGATTCCAAAACCGTGGTAGATTTTAGAAGTCTCAATTTTCTTGAATGCCTCATCGTATGCCTCAGTGTGCATTCCATGGTAATTGATCTCCACAATTTGAACAAATATTCAAAATAGGGTGACTTTAGTGCATAAACTATTATACATAAAATTGTAGAGAAAAATAGTTATATGGAAATATATAGACTCCAGGTTAGAGAACTTCTGCTTCTAAAATAGCCTATGTAATTTTATATATATATATATATATATATATATGTACCATGTGTGTTTATATAATAAATAATATATATATAATTAATTTATGTGATACAGATATATAGTTTCAATTCAAACATCATATTTCAAACTTGGCAATAAAGTTTTGAAGAGATATTTATTATTTTAGTTTGGTCTCATGCCAAAAAATAATATTGTCTTAGGTGATACTTAATACTGATTCTTCCCATTAAATTAAAATGGTAGTTTTCAAACTGTAATCACTGGGAAGTCTTGTTAAAATACTTATTTCTACTGCTCCCAGAGTCACTAATTCAGTAGGTCAGGGAGTGGGGCCTGAAAATTTACATTGCTTACAAGACATTTTCTTTATTGCTCTATTGTGCTGAAGACATTTAAATGGAGGAATATCATAAGGTGTAATAATTTTGCCTTATATTGTAGGATCCCCCTCCGTTGAAGTACAGAATAGATTAATTATTGTTGTATGTTTCCCAGGCATTAGACATTTAAAATCACACACACACACATATACACACACAATTTAGAAAACTTACTGGGTTATCTAAAGACAAAGTTATATCACTTGTTATATGGTGATATGGTTTGGCTGTGTCCCCACCCAAATCTCATCTTGAATTCCCACATTTTGTGGGAGAAACCTAGTGGATGGTGATTAAATCATGGGGGCAAGTCTTTCCCATGCTGTTCTCATGATAGTGAATAAGTCTCACGAGATCTGATGGTTCTTTAAGGGGGAGTTTCCCTGCTCAAGCCCTCTCTCCTTGCCTGCTGCCATCCATGTAAGACATAAGTTGCTCCTCCTTGCCTTCTGCCGTGATTGGGAGGCTTCCCCAGCCACATGGAACTGTAAGTCCAATTAACCCTCTTTTTTTTTTGTAAATTGCCCAGTCTCAGGTATGTCTTTATCAGCAGCGTCAGAACAGACTAATACATATGGATATTTAAAATTTTAGAAATTCTTTTTGGGGCTTTGATCATACTTTATAAATACAAGAGTGAAAACCTAACCTTCAACATATAGTGTATACTTACACTGAACATTAGTGTTAGTAGACGCAAGTTCAATTCCAAATCCTGAATATAAGACTCCATGCTATTTAATATAAGGGTGAAAATGTTCACAGGGCAAATGGATGATCTGTATTTTCATGTATTTATCCCCATTTCCTCCCATTTGTAAAAATCATTTGTCTCTTGAAACTCAAAGTCTATATTTCAAATTTTAATGCATTTAAAGCAAAATTTTAAGAATGTCATTCATTCTAATTGCTTTACTTTTGCTTCGTATTGCATTAATAATTATCTTACTCTACCAATGAAAATAATCAACATTATGATTAATGTAGTAGTTGTATTTTACCTTTAGTATTTGGAATACAGCCTCTATCCCATGGTACAAAATTTTGATCTTATTAAAAATTGAAAAAAATATATACGGGGTTCTACCAACTCTTTGATTTTTATATTTTATTTTTTGCTTGAAGAATATGGCCACATGATTTAAAATTTATAAGTCACAAATAAATTATATAGTTTCTTCCACTCCTATACACCAATAATCTACTTCCCCTTAGTAGAGGTATATAAGGTTACCAGTTTCCTTCTTTTTAGAAATACAGAAATATGCTATGACTATAATCAAGTCTAAGTTAATGTTTTCCCTAATTTTATATAAATGCTAAATTATATATAATGTTCTTTCCTTTTATCAGTAAAATATATATCTTTGAGATTATTATATATTAGTGTGTAAAGGATTCCCTCAATCTTTTCTAGTGCTCTATGGTATTTAATTGGTTGGTATCATAGTCCATTTAGTGTTGCTATAAAGGAATACCTAATACTGGGTAATTTATAACTTAAAGAGTTTAATTTGGTTCACGATTCCTCAGGCTGGACAAGAAGCATGCTACCGCCATCTGCTCAGCTTCTGGTGAGGGCCTCAGGCTACTTCCAGTCATGGCAGAAGGCAATGGAGAACCAATGTATGCACAGATCACATGGCAAGAGCAGAAACAAAAGGAAAAGAGAGGGGAGGTGCCAAGCTCTTTTTAATAACCAGCTCTCATGGGTACTAGCAGAGTGAGAAGTCACTCATTCTTTTCCCCAAGGAAGAGAGTTAATCTATTCATGAGAGATTTGCCCCCATGACCCAAAAACCTCCCACTAGTCCCCATCTCCAACATTAGGTTTGAGGGCACAAAACATCCAAACTATAGCATCTGGACCATAATTTACACAAGCAGTCTCCTGCCAATAAATACGTAGGTGATTTGTGATCCTTTGCTAAAACAAACAGTGACTAAATAAATTACGTTATACACATGCCACTTTGCATTTGTGTATATGTATATGATGAGTTCCTAGGTGTGGAATATCAAAAAGTTTGTGTCTGTGTGCATTTTACACTTTTATACTCTAATCAACAATTCGTAAGAGTACCTGTTTCCCCTTATGCTCATGAACATAACATGTTACCAAGCTCTCAGATTCTTGGCAATTTGATAGTTCAAAATACCCTCTCAATAGAATCTCTGTTTTCATTCTTTACTTTTGTGAGAGATTTAACAATTCTCTCACATATATACATATATATATATATATATTTTTTTTTTTTTTGAGATGGAGTCTCGCTCTGTTGCCCAGGCTGGAGTACAGTGGCGCGATCTTGGCTCACTGCAAGCTCCCCCTCCCGGGTTCACGCCATTCTCCTGCCTCAGCCTCCCAAGTAGCTGGGACTACAGGTGCCCACCATCACGCATGGCTAATTTTTTGTATTTTTAGTAGAGACGGGGTTTCACCGTGTTAGCCAGGATGGTCTTGATCTTCTGACCTCGTGATCCACCCGCCTCGGCCTCCCAAAGTGCTAGGATTACAGGCGTGAGCTGCCACGCCTGGCCCTTCATATGTTTAAGATCAATTTTTATTTCCTTTTTTATGAACTATTTCCTTAGCTAATTTTTCTATTGCATTGTTAATCTTATTATTTTAGTTAAAAGAGATCTTTAAATACTAGAGAAGTTATCACTTCAAAGAACAATGTAAGAACAATGTGTCATTTAGGGGACAGCTTCTATTGCTATATTAAAAAAATGTCCCAATAGAGTAGCTTAAATGAACTGGAAGTTTCTTTTTCTTTCTCTCATATAATAGTTTTGATAGACACACAGAGCTCAAGGATCAATATATGGCTTCCAATGATGGGTCCAATGTGACAGCTCTAGTTCTTACTGTCCCCAGAGATGGAGAATGGAGAGATCTAGAGGAACCTACCCATAGTTGTTATAAGGGCAAGATTCAAAACCAGTGTGCCTCACTCACAGTCAAACACTATTGGTCAGAACTTTGATGAAGGCCATATCTAGATGTTGGGAATCTAGGAAATATAGTCTTTAGATTGACATGTTCTGCATAGTGAAACTAATACTATAGAAGAGGAGAGTAATGGGATTGGGGACAAACTATCATTTTGCAATGAGTTAAAAATACGATTTTTTTCCAGTTAATCATTTTGCCTTTGCTTATTCTGAAATTTATTCTGTAAAATGTTAGCTTATTTATATATCTGAATATATGAAACTTTTTTTATTTGTGGCCTCAAGGCTTGGCGTCACCCTAGAAAGTATCTTTCTTATTCTATGATTATTTTTTGAAAATCTCCTACTGTTTCTTCTAGGAAATCCTCTAGTAGTGGCAGTAGTCCCTTTTGCTTCTTTCACTTCTTTGTCTTCTTCCTCTTTTAATCATTTGAGATTTACAGTTTTAAATTATTAGTGTCATTGTCAGTCAAAATGTATGACACCAAGGGTAAAATTTATATTCTTTGTCTTTGGAATTATATATTCACACACATTCTGGTCTTAAATATTTTCTAAAATCTGTTTAATTTGTGTGATTGTTCTTCATGGAAATGTTTCAAGATGTGCTGGATGTCTTTGTTTAATACATTTATCTCCTGAATCTATTGCTCTTTGAAAATTAAAATGAACCTGTAGGGTATAAGGAGGCACATAAGATAACTTAAAAAATAATATATAGGAAAGAGAGCATGAGATGTTCATTAAATTGAATTAATAATTGAAATAAAAGTAATATACTTTGTAAAAGGTGATTTAATGACTTGGAAGATTTAATTACAGTGATCTGATTAAATTATGCTGTCACAAAACATTGGTATCACCATAATTGATGTGTGAGCACCATTGTGATTTTAGATTGATGTAGCTGCAACAGCAGATGAGATAATTTTGCCCTCCAGTAAAGAGTCAAATAACTAAAGTTGTAATGCAAAGATATATATGACAATAACTTGACATTATGCCTTCCTACTGCTTGCCCTCTCTCTCACCTTCTCTCTTCCTCTTACACTCTATTTTGGTTTTCCTACTTATTTTTATTTCTTCCCTTTTCTTCTCTTGCATGCTGTTCTGTTTTCCTGGTTCTACTATCATATACTGATTTTTTTGGGGGGTTTAGGGAATGAAATTCTTTAAATTTTTTATCTGTGTATATGATCAGGAAGGTGAGAGTGTCCCCCATTACAAATCTTATTGCCACTAAAAAGAACATTTTTGACTCATGCCTTAAAAAGTATGTTTTCATTAGCTTATTAGTTGAGAAATGCTCTTGTATACTATGCTTCATAAATGACATAGTACAATGAAATCTAATTAATAGCATGAAAAACCGTTAAGCTTTAAATTTTAAAAAAAGTCAAAATATAAAGTTAATCTTAATTGCTTAAACTGTCTTATAAAATTACTTTAAATCAAACAAAACATTAAACAAGAACTCTTATTTTGCCAGGTCATTATTTTAGATTACATTACATATAAGTGAGCCATAGAAAAATCTAGGATGATCAATTGTCACAAAAAAATAAAATACCTAGGAATAGAGCTAACCAGGGAGGTGAAAGATCTTTACAACAAGAACTACAAAATGCTCCTCAAATAAATCAGAGATGACATAAACAAATGGAAAAACATACCATGCTCATGTATGGGAAGAATCAATATTAAAATGACCACATTGACCAAAGCAATTTATAGATTCAATGCTATTCCCATTAAACTGCCATTGAGATTCTTGACAGAACTAGAAAAAACAATTTTAAAATTCATATGGAACCAAAAAGCAAAAGCCTGAATATCCAAGGCAATCCTAAGCAAATAGGACAAAGCTGCAGGCATCAAACTATCCAACTTCAGACTCTACTACAGGGCTACAGTAACTAAAACAGCATGGCACTGGTACAAAGACAGGCACATAGACCAATGGAACAGAATAGAGAACCCAGAAATAAGGCAGCACACCTACAACTATCTGATTTTTAACAAAGCTGACAAAAAGAAGCAATGGAGAAATGATTCCCTATTCAATAAATGATACTGGGATAACTGGCTTGCCATATGCACAAGATTGAAACTGCACTCCTTCCTTACACCGTATACAAAAATTATCTCAAGATGGATTAAAGACTTGAATATAAAACCCCAAACTATAAAACCCTAGAAGATAACCTAGGCAATACCATTCAGGACATGGCCATGGAGAAAGATTTCATGATGAAGATGCCAAAGGCAATTGCAACAAAAGCAAAAATTGACAAATGGGAGATAATTCAACTAAGGAGTTTCTCCACGGCAAAGGAAGCTATCAGCAGAGTAAACAGACAACCCACAGAATGGGAGAACATTTTTGCAAACTATGTATCCAGCAAAGGCCTAATATCCAGCATCCGTAAGTAACTTACACAAATTTACAAGAAAAATACAAACAACCACAATAAAATAAGGGCAAAGGACATGAACAGTCACTTTTCAAAAGAAGACATACATGCAGCCAACAATCATATGAAAACAAGCTTAACATCACTAATCATTAGAGAAATGCAAATCAAAACCACAATGAGATACCATCTCACAACAGTCAGAATGGCTATTTATTATTAAAAAATCAAAAAATAACAGATGCTGGTGGGGTTGAGGAGGAAAAAAAGAATACTTATACTATACTAATACTTATACTATTGATGGGAATATAAATTAGTTCAACCATCGTAGAAGACAGTGTGGCGATTCCTCAAAGACTTAAAGGCAGAAGTACCATTTGACCCAGCAATTCTATTACTGGGTATATACCCAAAGGAATATAAATCATTCTTTTATAAAGACACATGCATGCATATGTTCATTGCAGCACCATTCATAATAACAAAGATATGGAATCAACCTAAATGCCCATCAATGATAGACTGGATAAAGAAAACATGGTACATATACACCATCGAATACTATGTGGCCATAAAAAAGAATGAGATCATGCCCTTTGAAAGAACATGAATGGAGCTGGGGGTCATTATCCTTAGAAAACTAATGCAGGAACAGAAAACCAAATACCACATGTTCTTACTTATAAGTGGGAGCTAAATGATGAGAACCCATGGGCACACAGAGGGGAACAACACACACTGGGACAATCAGAACATGGGGATTGGGAGGAGGGATATGATCGGGAGAAATAAATACTGGGTACTAGGTTTAATACCTGACCGACGAAATAATCTGTACAACAAATTTCCATGACAAAAGTTTACCTAACAAACCTGCACATGTACCCCTGAACTTAAAAGTTAAAAAAAAGAAAAATCTGGGATGACAATTTCCTTTCTACTCCATGGCTGTCAGGACTTCTCCATGATCTTAGAAGGCACTATTTTATTAATATATTTATATATACGATTTTCTCTGCGGAGAAAAATCTGTGTCCTGTATTTGATTCTCAAAGACTGTGTGAGAGCTAAAATTGATTTTTGGGCACCATTATGATTTTAGATTGAGGGTCTCTAATTCCACCTGACTGGGATATGTGTGTTTGTGTGTGTGTGTGTGTGTGTGTGTGTGTGTGTGTGTATGTATGTATTAAATTTTATCTTGATATAGATTGAGAGTTAAATTATAATTTGTTTACATTTCAGTTAGTTGAATGGTTACTAATCTTCTCCTTGAAGTTAAGCAAAGTATTGTATATTCCAATGTTTTCCTTCTTCATTTATGGGTCCCATATTTTGAAACACAATATCAATCTTATTCTCATCTTGTTATTGTGGTAAATTATAGATAATATAAAACTTACCCTTTTAGCCAATTTTAAGTGTGCAATTCAGTGGTATTAAGTACATACACATTGTTTTACAACTATCACCACCACCCATCTAAATAATTTTTTCATCTTCACATACTGAAACTCCATACCCAGGAAAAAAAAAACTCCCCATTTTTTCCTCCCTCCATCCCCTGGTAACAACCATTCTACTTTCTGTCTCTATGATTTTGACTACTCTGGGTACCTTATATAAGTGATTTATATAGTATTTGTCCTTTTTCTACTGGCTTATTTCACTTAACATAATGTTGTCAAGACTTATCCATGTTATAGAATGTGTCAGAATTTTCTTCCTTTTTAAGGTTGAATAATATTTTATTGGATGTGCATGGATGTGTATATACTATATATACACATACATTATTGTATTTATATATCTGTATATGTAGTTGACCCTCCAACAGCATGAATTTGAATAGTCTGAGTCCGCTTATATGTGGATTTTTTTCAATATATATATTAGAAAAAATTTTGGAGATTTTTAAAAATTTGAAAAAAACTCACAGCAAACCACATAGCCTAGAAATATCAAAAGAAATTAAGAAAAAGGTAAATTATTAATGCATTATATATATATACAAATAATAGTCTATTTTATCATATACTATCATAAAATATACACAAATCTATTATACAAATTTAAAATTTATCAAAGCTTATGCACACACAGATCGTACGTGGCACTATTTGCAGTTGAGAGAAATGTACACAGATATAAAGATGCAACATTAAATCAAAACTATAAAATTAATTGTAGTACATATTGTAGTGTTCTAATAATTTCATAACCACCTCCTGTTGTGGTAAACTCAAGTGTTAGGGAGTATTCACTTAAAAATCCATGTGATGCTAATCACCTCCAAATGAGCAGTTCATCTCTCCAGTAAATTGTGTATCACACTAAAAAGTCATCTTTCATGGTTCTCATATTTTTAAATTACGTTTAGTGGAAAACCATAAACCCTGCATAACATCATAGGACCCATATGAAGTGCTACTAGTGATGCTGGAAGTACGTCCCAGAATCAGAGAAAAGTCATCACATTACAAGAAAAAGTTTATATGTACTGTAGATTGAGGTCTGCAGTTGTTATTGTCCACCATTTCAGAGATGATTCATCTTGTAAACAAATGACATACTCTTATGGTATTGATACATACCATACATTATTATAAATGTATTTCTCCCCCTTATGATTTTCTTCATAACATGTTTTCTCTTACTTTATTGTAAGAATACAAAAAAACAAACAACCCCATCAAAAAGTAGGCAAAGGATATGAACAGACACTTCTCAAAAGAAGACATTTATGCAGCCAAAAGACACATGAAAAAATGCTCATCATCACTGGGCATCAGAGAAATGCAAATCAAAACCACAATGAGATACCATCTCACACCAGTTAGAATGGCAATCATTAAAAAGTCAGGAAACAACAGGTGCTGGAGAGGATGTGGAGAAATAGGAACACTTTTACGCTGTTGGCGGGACTGTAAACTAGTTCAACCATTGTGGAAGTCAGTGTGGCGATGCCTCAGGGATCTGGAACTAGAAATACCATTTGACTCAGCCATCCCATTACTGGGTATATACCCAAAGGACTATAAATCATGCTGCTATAAAGACACATGCACACGTATGTTCATTGCGGCACTATTCACAATAGCAAAGACTTCGAACCAACCCAAATGTCCAACAATGATAGACTGGATTAAGAAAATGTGGCACATATACACCATGGAATACTATGCAGCCATAAAAAATGATGAGTTCATGTCCTTTGTAGGGACATGGATGAAATTGGAAATCATCATTCTCAGTAAACTATCGCAAGGACAAAAAACCAAACACCGCATGTTCTCACTCATGGGTGGGAATTGAACAATGAGAACACATGGACACAGGAAGGGGAACATCACACTCTGGGTACTGTTGTGGGGTTGGGGGAGGGGGAGGGATAGCATTAGGAGATATATCTAATGCTAAATGACGAGTTAATGGGTGCAGCACACCAGCATGGCACATGTATACACATGTAACTAACCTGCACATTGTGCACATGTACCCTAAAACTTAAAGTATAATAATAATAATAATAATAAAAGAATACAGTACATAATACATGTACAAAATATGTGTTAATCAACTATGTTATCTGTGAAGCTTCCAATAAACAGCAGGCTACTAGTAGGTAAGTTATTGGGGAATCAAAAGTGATACACAGATTTTTGTATTGATATTATTACAGGTTTAGAGGGTACAAGTGTAGTTTTGTTACATGGAAGTTTTGTGTAGTGGTGAAGTCTAGGTTTTTGGTGTAACCATCACCTGGATAATGTACATTGTACCCATTAGGTAATTTCTCATTCCTCAACCACGTTGCACCCTCCCACATTTCCGAGTCTCCAATTTCTATCATTTCACTCTATTTCTGTGTGTACACATTATATAGCCCCTGCTGATAAGTGAGAACATGCAGTATTTGACTGTTTCTGAATTATTTCACTTAAGATAATGGCCTCCAGTTCCACCCATGTTACTGCAAAATATATTATTTTATGATTTTTTATGGCTGAGTAGTATTTGTTTGTGTGTGTGTGTGTGAGAGAGAGAAAGAGAGACATTTTCTTTATCTAATCATCTGTTGATGGGCACTTAGGTTGATTCCTTATCTTTCCTATTGTGAACAATGTTGTAATAAACATACAAGTGCAGATGTCTTTTAGATATAAACATTTTGTTTCCTTTGGAAATATATCCAGTAGTAGGATTGCTGGATCCAATAGTAGTTCTATTTTTGGTTCTTTGAGGAATCTCCATACTGTTTTCCATAGAGATTGTTTCAATTTACATTCCCACCAACAGTGTGTAAGTGTCCCTTTTCCCCACATCCATGCCAACATCTGCCACTTTTTGACATTCTAATAATAGCCATTTTGACTGGTGTAAGATAGTATCTCATCGTGGTTTTAATTTGCATTTCTCTGATTAGTGATGTTTAGCATATTTCACGTGCTTATTAGCCATTTGTATGTCTTCTTCTGAAAAATGCTCATGTCTTTTGCCCACTTTGTAATGGGGTTATTTATTTCTTGTTGTTTAAGTTTCTTGCAGATACTAAATATTAGTCATTTGTCAAATGCGCCGTTTGCAAATATTTTCTCCTATTCTGCTGGTTGACTATTCACTCTGTTGATTATTTCTTTTGCTGTGCAGAATCATTTTAGTTGAATTAAGTCCCATTTGTCTATTTTTGATTTTGTTGAATTTGCTTTTGAGGCCTCAGTCATGAATTCTTTGCCTAGGCCAGTGTCCAGTAGATTTTCCTAGGTTTTCTTCTATTATTTTTATAGTTTCAGGTCTTATGTTTAAATCTTTAATTTACCTTGAGTTAATATTTGTGTATGGCGAGAGATAGAGGTCAAGTTTCATTCTTCTGCCTATAACTGGCCAATTTTCCCAGTATTATTTATTGAATAAGGTGTCCTTTCACCATAGTTTATTTTTATCTACATTGTTGACTGTCAGTTGATTGTAGGTATTCCTTTCCATTGTTATGTGTGTCTATTTTATGTACCAATAATATGCTGTTTGGGTTACTATAGCTTGCGGTATAATTTAAAGTCAGGTAATGTAACACCTTGGCTTTGTTCTTTTTGCTTAGGATTGTTTTGGCCATTCAGGCTCTTTTGTGGTTCTATATGAATTTTAGGATTTTTGTCTAATTCTGTGAAAAATTATTTTGGTAATTTGATAGAAATTGCTTTGAATCTATGGATTGCTTTGGGCAGAATGATCATTTTATCAATGATGATTCTTCTAATTCATAAGCATGGGCTGCTGTTCTATTTTTGTGTGTGTGTGTGTCTTCTGCAATTTCTTCCATCGAGGTTTTGTAGTTTTTCTTGTAAAGATCTTTCACCTCCTTAGTTTAATTTATTCCTTGGTATTTTTTTTTGTAGTTACTGTAAATAGGATTGACTTCTTGATTGGTTCTCAGCTTGATTGTTATTGGCATATAGCAATGCTACTGATTTTTGCACCTAGATTTTGTATACTGAAACTATTCTGAATTCATTTATCAAATCTAGCAGTCTTTTGGAGAAATATTTAGAGTTTTCTAAGTATAAGATCATATCATCAGCAAAAAGATAATTTGTCTTCCAGTTTTCTAATTTGGATGCTTTTTATTTCTTTCTCTTGCTTGATTGCTCTGGCTAGGACTTCCAGTAAGTAATAAGTTGAATGGGAGTAGTGAGAGTGGATATTTTTGTCTTGTCCAGTTCTTATGGGGAATGCTTTCAACATTTACCTGTTCAGTTTGATGTTGGCTGTGGGCTTCTTGTATATGGCTTCCATTGTTTTGAGGTATGTTCTTTGATGCCTAGTTTCTTGAAGGTTTTATCATGAAGGGATGCTGAATTTTATCAAATGCTTTTTTCTGCATATTTTGAGATGATTATATGTTTTTTGTTTTTAATTCTGATTTTTAGGTTAATCGCATTTAATTGAACCATCCTTGCATCCCTGAAATAAAACCTACCAGATTGTGTTCTATTAATTTTTGGATTTGCTATTGAATTCGTCTTGCTATATTTTGTTGAGGATTTTTGCCTCCATATGCATTTACAAATACTGCCTGTAGTTTTCTTTGCTGTTGTTGTTGTTGTGACTTTGTGTGGCTTTGGAATCACGATGATAACAGACTTTATACAACGAGTTAGGGAGGATTCCCTCCTTCTCAATTTCTTGGAACAATTTCAGTAGGATTGATACCAGTTATTTTTATGTCTGGTTGAAATGGGCTGTAAATCCATCTGGTTCTGACCCCTTTTTTTCTTGAGAAAAAGTTTATTACTGGTTAAATCTCACTACTCATTATTGGTCTGTTCAGGATATCTGTTTCTTCCTGGTTCAATCTTTGGAGGTTGCATGTTTCCAGGAATTGATCTGTTTCTTCTAGATTTTCTAGCTTGTGTGTGAAGAGACATTCATAGTAGTTTCTGATGATATTATATATTTCTGTGGTGTCAGTTTTAATGTCACCTTTATCATTTCTGATTGTGCATATTTGAATCTTCTCTCTTCTTTTGGTTAGTCTAGTTTTGCAGTCTATCAATTTTGTTTATCTTTTTAAAGAACAAACTTTGTATTTATCCTTGTTACTGTTTTTTAGGACTTACTTTCATTTAGTTCTTCTCTAATCTTTATTATTTCTTTTCCTCTGCTAGGTTTGGGCTTGGTATGTTCTTGACTTTGTCTTTCCTTTAGGTGAGACATCAGGTTGTTAGTTTGTGATCTTTTTATTTTTTTATGCTGACATTTAACACTACCAACTTCCCTTTTAGTGTTTTTTAAAATGTATGCAAGACATTTTGGTATATTGTGTCTCCATTTTCATTTGTTTAAATAATTTCTTAAATTACTGTCTTAATTTCATTCTTGACTCAAAGATCATTCAGGAGCAGATTGTTTAATTTCCATGTATTTGTATAGCTTTGAGAGTTCCTCTTGAGATTTATTTCTAGTTTTCTTCCGTTGTGGTCTGAGAAGATTCTTGATATTATTCAGTTTTCTGAAATTTTCGAGACTTGGTTTATGGCAAACACATGGTCTATTTTGGAGAATGTTCCATGAATTTATAAGAAAGGATATTCTATGGTTGTTGGGTAGAATGTTCTGTAAATTTTTGTTAGGTTCATTTGGTCTAAATCCAATTTAAACCCATTATTTCTTTATTGATTTTCTGTCTTGATGATCTTTGTAGTGCTGTTGGTGAAGTTTGAAACTACCACTATTATGGTATTGCTGTCTATCTCTTCATAGGTTTTGTAGTATTTGTTTTATGAATCTGCATGCTCCAGTTTTAGGCACATATATATTTAAGATTCTTATATCTTCTTGTTGAACTCATCCCTTCACCAATAGATAATTACCTTGTTTGTCTTTTTTGTTGTTTTTTAACTGTTGTTGATTTAAAGTCAGTTTGATGTGATATAAGGATAGCTACTCCTGCTTGCCTTTGATTTTTGTTTGCATGGAATATCTTTTTCCACCCCTTTACCTTCAGTCTATAAGTGTCTTTCCCAGTTTGGTGGACTTCCTATAAGCAGCATATGGTTGAATAATGTTTTTTAAGTCAATTCTTCAAATCTATATCTTTAAAGTGGAACATTTAGTCCATTTACATTCAAGGTTAATATTGATAATATGAGGTTTTTCCTGTCATAATGTTAATTATTATCTAGTTGTCTTGCAGTGTCACTTGTGCAATTATTTTTATAAGACCTGTGGGTTTTATGACCTGTGAGTTTAAAGACCTGTGTTTTTATCATAGTAAGTATCAATCTTTTGTTCCCATATTTAGAACTCCCTGAAGCATTTTTGTAGCATCAGTCTAGTGGTAGTAACAGATTCTCTTAGCATTTGATCGTCCTGGAGATACTTAATTTCCCCTTCATTTTTGAAGCTTATTCCAATAGGATACAAAATTCATAGGTGGAAGATTTTTTTCTTTCAGAACTCTGAAAATAGGAAACCCTCTCTTTTGGCTTGTAAGGTTTCTACTGAGAAGTCCACTGTCAGTCTGATAGGATTTTTTAAAATATGTGATTAGATGTTTTTCTCTTGCTGATTTTATAATTTTTTTCTTCATATCAACTTTAGATAGTCTAATGACTATATGTCTTGATACCGTCTTTCTTGCATTGTATTTTCCTAGAGTCCTCTGAGCCTCTTGTGTTTAGACATCTAAATCTCTAGCAAGTCTAGGGAAGTTTTTCTCAATTTCTTCAAATAGGTTTTCCAAACTTCTTGTTTCTTCTTTGTCCTCAGGAATACGTATGGCACATAGGTTCAACATTTTACATATTCTCAGACTTCTTTAAAACTTTGTTTATTTTTTAAATTCTTTTTTTATTTTTGACTGGGTTTATTCCAAAGACCTGTCTTCAAGCTGTGAGATTCTTTGTTATGCTTTGTCTAGTCTATTGTTAAAGCTTCCAGTGGTATTTTGTAATTCCTTCACCGTATTTTTCATTTCCAGTGGTCCTGTTTAGAATTTTTTAAATGTATCTTTTTGTCAAATTTTTCATTTACACCCTGAATTGATATTCTGATCTCCTTGTATTTGTTTTTCTTTTGGATCTCATTGAGCTTCTTTAAAATCAACATTTCAAATCATTTATCTAATATTTTAAAGATTTCCTTTTGGTTAGAATCCTTCGCAAGAGAATTACTGTGATCCTTTGAGGGCATCATAACACTGTTTCTTCATACTTCTAGAATTATTTTGCTGCTTTGTTTTTCTTTGGAGAAAATAGCCCTTCTTATTTTTGAATTTACTTTCATTTGGATGGTATTTGTTTGTTCACTTGAGGATATGAGTATAACATATGTTGTATAGGGTGGTTTGGCTTCGGTTCTGGGTACTTTCGATGGCAATGACTCTGTATGAGTTTCTTGGTTATAGATAGCCTTAGTGTGGTAGCTCTCTCAAATGCTGGTTGTAATAGCAGTATATTGGGCACGTTAGCAGGCTTATGATCTTCTGCAAGGCCAGGATAGTGAAGGCCTTAAGTAGCTTATCTCATTCCCAAGCACTGTGCACTTCTATTAACAGAATTTGCATTGGGTTGTGCAATTCAACCATCAGGCCAGTACGTAACACTTACAGATAACAGCAGGGTGCAGCAGTAGCAGTTGGGTGTATGATACGTATTTGTTTACCTGGAAAAACTCTCTCTTGGCTCAGGCATTGGGCTGGTCTGTGGAATGCACAGTGGCCTGAGCTCCCCATTCAGCCCCAGAGCAAGAGTACAAAGCTGGGTGGAGCTGGACTAGGCAAACCCACACTCATATCCCCCAATGGTGAGTACAAGCACCATCCCTGATGTGGATGGCAAGGGAGCTCCCAGTGAAATGCACTGAAATCTCTGCAGCAGGGGAGACAACTGATGCAGCTCCATACCCTCAGCAGGCAGGAATGCAATCTACTTCCCTGTCATGCCTCAGCCCTGGTGTTTTCAACACACATTAGTTAGACATCTTTATCTATCACCAGGATGCAATGTAGCTGAGAGCCGTAAAAGATGCCTGTCCTGTGGCTCACCACTAAAATGGCTTCAGTGAGAAACTTCTTCCCTCAGCCCAAAACACATAGCCTTCTGCTTTTCTGCTCCCAGTTTCAGGAACACTGTCACTCTGTGTAGAGGTGGGAAGGAGCCTTGCCTTTCACACAAACCTTGCCCAGTGGCCACACTACCTCTGAGGACACAGTTCCCCTTAAAAGCCCAGAAAGACTATCCTCCTTTGCACTTCTGCCAGTTTCCCATAGGAGCAGCCATGGCTGTGTCTGTAGCAGGAGGAGGAAAAGCTTCCTTCTCCACGCCTGGGTACAAGCATAAATGCTGCTTGGCCACTGGGATGGAACTAAATTCCTCCCTTGCCTGGCCGTGCACAGTGCCCAAACAAGTGGGGAGCTCTCAAGCACAGAAAAATATGCACTCTGGTTTCCTTTGTTCCAAGAAGTGTTCTCTCAGTGTGCTGCGCTCTCGTTTCCCTTAGGAGAAGACTCCTTGAGGACAAAACCACTGGGAATCCAGAAGCTTTCATGGGTCCTGGCAGCCCTGCGTGGCTGCCACCATCCAAGTGGGTATTAGGGAATGTCTATGAGGGCTCTGGTGACGTGGAGACTCATGGGCTGAGGTTCAGGGGGAGGACATAGTCTGCCGATGGCTGCTTCTTAAGTATTATGCAACACCACCACTTCTGAGGCCTCTGGAGAGGGCAAACAACCCAGTATGAGTTGGTATTCTAGTGCAGTGCCCTTAAGAAATCTCCAAATTGCTGTCCACACCAGTGTTTAGGATCGTGAAGGCAGGTGAGCTCTCCAATAGTTCAGATACCAGTGATCTGCCATGGGGACAAGGGCAGCCAAAATACTCCCACTTACCCTTATGACAAAACACAAAAAGTCGCTTAGGGTTCCTAGCTGATCTCTGCCACTGCCTTGCTTCCTTTTTTTCTGTGCTCCAACTTCTTATCAGGAGTTCTTCACTAGACTCCAGCACCCTTCCTTGCTATTTTATTCAAGTTATGATTATTCACTTGTAACTTTCTTCTTTGTGAGAACTGCCGCCTGAGGTCTCTAGTTAGTTATCTTGAACTGGAACCCTCTAGACACATATTTTCAATTGTGCAGGGGATCAGCACTCCTAACCCCTGCTTTCTTCAACGGTCAACTGTAACCATACACACAAACACACCACATTTTGTTTCTGTACTCACCCATTGATGAACATTTAGGTTTCTTTCACCTACTGTAAACTGTAAATAATATTGCTGTGAACATGGGTATACAGATATCTCTTTGAGTCCCTGCTTTTTAAATTCTTGTAGGTATATACCCAGAAGTAAAATTGTTGGATCATATGGTAATCCCATATTTAACATTTTATATGACCACCATACTGTTTTCTAGAGAGGCTTCACCATTTTACATTTCTACCAGCAGTATACAGTTGTTCCAATTTCTCTTCATCCTTGACAATACTTATTATTTTTTGTTGTTTGTTTTTACCTATTAACCATCCTAATGGGTGTGAAATGGTATCTCACTGTGGTTTTGATTTGCAGTTTCTTAATTAGTGATGTTGGGCATATTTTCCTGTGCTTATTGGCTGTTTGTATATCTTTGGAGAAATGTCTGTTCAAACCCTTTTCATATTTTTACATTGGGTTGTTAGCTTTTTGTTTTGTTTTGTTTTTGAGTTGGGGTTCTTTATATATTCTGCATATTAAACAATAATCAAATACATTATTTTCAAATACTTTCTCCCACTTTATAGGTTCCCTTTTTATTCTCTTGATAATGTCATCTGATGCACAAAATTTTTAACTTCTATATGGCTCAATTTATCTATTTTTTCTTTTGTCATCTGTGTTTTTAGTGGCATATCCAAGAAATTGTTGCCAGATCTAATGTCATGAAGATTTCCCCCTATATTTTTGCTCAGAGTTTTGAAGATTTAGCTCTTATATTTAGATCCTTGATCCATTTTAAATTAATTTTTGTAGATATTGTATGGTAAGGGTCCAACTTCATTATTTTACATATGGATTTCCAGTTTTCCCAGCACCATTTATAGAAAAGGCGTATGCTTGTCTTCAAGTAGGCTTCCAAATTCTATTTTTAAAGCACTTTAAGACGAAGAAGCTTCATCTCCTCATACAAATGATTTCTTTTTATTAGTTCTTCAGAAACTTCCACTTAACTTTAGAGATAGATAAAGAGCTCAATTGTATAAGGGTAAACCATATACTTAGAGAAAGCCATCCTTAATTGGCACAATTCATTTTTGCCACAAATGTTACTCTGGTCTCCTCACTGTTTGCCACCATTACCCCTAAAACAGAATGATTAACGGAAGAAATTAGAGAAATAGATTATAAATGGATTGATAAGTATGCGGGCAGGTAGACTAACAATAGGCACCTGTATTATAGATTAAGAGTGCCTTCACTGTACATTAGTGTAGAATTCTAAACCTCATAGTCATTCAACCTGCACTGTATGAAGAATGGGCCTGGATAAGTAAAAAGGTAAATAAAATAAATAGAAGTAGAATTGTCATAATTTTTATTTTAAAATTCCCTATTTTTTTTAAACAAAAGAGGAATTTCCTTGAATTATTTGTGGAGTATCACACAGAAAATACTGTAACCCTTTGAGATAGGTACGTTTTAGGAACCTCTTTGCATTCATACCAGCTCTGCTTCCACAGGAAACAAAATATTTTGGAGATGATGGGGAGGTGAAATAGACAGCAAGCTGGAACAATAGGGCATTAAAAGCCTGGAATGTCTAGGAAAATCTACTGAAGTGGAGAACAATCAGTATTGGGCCTGAGGCATATGGCAGAGAGGAAAGATTGTGTAGGTAAGTGAAAACTGTCCAGTTAATGATGAAGGAGTGGTAGGAGTTGTCTATCATAGACTTCTTCTTAGTGAGAGCTTATTATACTCTGAGAAAAAAAAAAGTCTTATAGCAGGCCAAGAAGATACGAATTTATTAACCTAGAAACAATTAGGTATATACTCAGAAATAGTAGGAATGTATTTATTTAAAATTTTTCCCTGTCACAGAAGAAGGCAGTGTGTACATTTGACAAGGCCTAGATAATGAATGGTAAGCTTAATAAGATAGTGACTCAAACTCCGGTCATCCTATTTGCTGACCATGTAACAACATGGAAGTTACTTTCCTTATGTGTAAAATGATAAGAAGCATATTTAGATAACAAGGAAATAACCCAGGATAACAAATGTAAATTTCACTGTCTGATGTCTGGCCCATGGATAAATGATAATTGCCATTTGCTGTTGTTGTTTCCAGACAAACAAAAAGAAAATTTGGTCAGTACTGTTAAAGGTAATGCATTGCATATGTACTGATCCTTTAAGAGTATATCCCCCCCAGCACTTTGGGAGGCCGAGGCTGGTGGATCACGAGGTCAGGAGATCGAGACCATCCTGGCTAACACGGTGAAACCCCATCTCTACTAAAAATACAAAAAATTAGCCGGGTGTGGTGGTGTGCACCTGTAGTCCCAGCTACTTGGGAGGCTGAGGCAGAAGGATGGCGTGAACCCGGGAGGCAGAGCTTGCAGTGAGCCGAGATTGCGCCACTGCACTCCAGCCTGGGCGACAGAGCGAGACTCCGTCTCAACAACAACAACAACAACAAAAAAGTTAAATGATGGAGTTAAATGATGTTGTCAGTGCCTATTTAAAAAACTACTCTTCCCCTTCTCTATGAGTTCTACTTTGGTAAATATTAATATTTAACCAGTTAGTAAAACTAACACCACTATTTCAATTCTCTTTTGTGCATAGTAAGTAAATTTTGCTTTACTTACTTTATAAAAAAATACTTTACATTTTATAAAGCAGGTTTTAGAAAAACGGTTTACAAGAAAGTTTGCCTCCATTTCACTGCCAATTTAATCACAGGGAAAATGAATATAGACTTCTGGCAACTACTGTTGATCTACAGTGGTAGAGAGTAATTTAGAATGCTAAATTGTCTGATGCCAGGCATGAGTTCTGTTCCTGTCAATGAGATAAGCAACTGAGACAATGAAGACAATCCCTGTATGAGGGCCTCCGCTGGCAACAGAACTCATCATATTTTCATCTGGTTGACATTCTTCTACAGATCCAAACTTGTCACCTTCAAACAAAAAACCTGAAAGCATCCAAACTTTGAATATGCTTACTGAAAAGGCGTTTGTAACATGAACACTTTCCTTAGGATTGCATTTAAAAGAATTTCCACTGGTGGCTTGAAAGGCTCTCAGTGAGTCATTGGAAGCTTTAAACATGAGATTTCTGGTGTCACCTAGAACTGTATTGAACTGAAATCCTTGTGGGAAAAACAGGCTAGAACCTGCATTCATTCCAAAACTGAAGACAGGAAGAATGACATTTTCACTGCATTTCCAGTGGCACTAAATGAGAATTATAGGTCATTGTTCTCCTTTGGGTTGATATTTAATACTCCTGTCACAGTCATCTTGTGTCTTTTCTCATAGGTGATGATGTTGTCACCTCATGCTACAAGCAGACTGGTCCCACTTGTGCTACTCATATTGTACTTATTAAGCACATGAACATTTTGGCCCTGCAGAAGATGGGGACCTGGTAGGCTTTGGCCTTGGTAGTGTTGTTAGGAAAGTTTCTTTATGCTTTCATAGTGTTTCTTTTTTGCTGAAGTTATTTGGAAAGTATTCCTGGACAGCTACTTCATGGAATTTAGTAGTTACATTATTTGTGTGTATATGGTTGCCTCTGACACATCTGTAGTTTTCATTTATGTGTGCGTTGATGTCCTGTGTGGATTTCACAGCCTTGATTCCCTTTGATTTGGATTGGGCAAAATAGTTGTGTCTGACAAGTTGGAAATAAATCTTAGCAGTTGGACACCGTAAAGTGTTGCATTTCTTATTACATTGAAGGTCAATGTATATCCTTTTCTAAAAACAATCATTAGACTGGCATGAGAAGCATTTCCTTGACCACGACATTTGTTATTTAGTACTTCTAAATTACAGGGCAGGTTGAAGGTCACATTTTTATCACTGCTGTTAGTATGTTAATTTGACAAGGAGGCAGCTTGAGTAGACTTCCATTGTGCAAGTTGTTCAGTAGCCATTTTTCACCACGAATACAGATGACATACCATGTATGAGTCCTATGAGCATCAGTCGGAACAGCTGTAGCCTCCAAACACCACTGACGGTGGCTACAGGTGCAAGGATGGGGAAGGAGGCCCAGGAAGCTTTCATGTGGTTGGAAACCCACACCGTCACGATTTGCCAACATCTTTGGTATATCTGCCTACATTTGGAAAGCAGGGAATAGTCAAAAAGATAAGTAGCCTGGAGTCTAAGACTTGGCAAGGAAAGAAACATCCCAACAAAAATCAAGAATAATATCACTACTTTGACCCCTCATAGCTTTGGTCCTCTCAGGCCAAGACGGAGACGCGCACATACAGTTTTGCTTATGTTGTGACCACCATCATGTGTTCCACCTATTATGGTGGTTTTGTTATGAGTTTTAAGCTTTCAAACTCAGATAAGCCTTCTACTCCAATATGTCTGAATGAATGAAGTTTTCCTTACTATCCATAACCTAATGTTTGGCAATGCTAAGTACTAAAGGACTCAAATACCTTTTTAAATTGACAATAATGGAGTTGTTCCTGCAACTACCTTATTAACCTTCTCTTAATTCACTTAGGTCCTCCAGGAGCTAACTATAAGGTGGATTTTAGTTTGTAGGATATTTATTAACTGATGACCTACTGATCAAACCCTGTGTAAGTGAAAAATCAAGAAAAGACCAGTCGTTTGTGATACTGGGCTTCAGTCATCACCACAGGGAGCTCCAGGGAGCCAGGATCAACCTGTAATTGGCCTAAATGGCTGGAAGTTCACAATCCTGCCTCCATCAGTCCTTAAATACCAGCTGACATGGGAAGGGTGTAACCTTGAACAATTTGTCTCTTTGCAGCAAAGGGATTCCCTGAAGTGGATGACAGATGAAAGCTGGAGGAAAAAAGTCCTTTCTTGAAGAGAGATCTTGGTGGTTGATTGCATTCATCACATAAGTAATACTCAGAAAATGTGAGACACCAAAATATAGGGTAATTACTTGAAATAGCTTTGGTTTGTTTGTTTTCAAAGACATTTTGCAAACTGTTGTCTTTTGATTTTGCAATTAAATATTAAAAATTTCCTTAGAAGTTGTGCTATATTTTATTATAGAGTACTGCTTTATTTTCTTTTAATATTTTATCAATTTATTGATTATAAACAGACACACCCATGATTTCCAATCTATCCCTATGTATCCTTCAATGATGTATGTAGTCCCATTCTTTTTACTGGTGGAGCTCTAAAGAGAATAGCAGACAAAAATAACAAGACTCTGATTTACTCAGAATCAATGCTCAGTTGAATACTTGATGTTCATTTGCTCTTGAATTATATCCTGCATTTTTGTGGCTCTTTAGAATATGATTTTGAATATATATTTTCCTTTGTTAAATATGACTGCATGGATGTTGCTTTTGTTATTCATTTGATACTTATTAGCAAATGCTAGACTAAAGTAGGTGCTCTATAAACCTATTTATATAAAACTTTTTGCCATGGTAACAAAGCGCTTCTCATTTAAAAAATAGACCAAATTTGGGGAGAAGGAAGGGTAGCAGCCCAAGGAATCCTTGGCCAGGTTAAGACCCTGTTTGCTATCAGAGAAAAGGGAAATATAGAGAAATAATTCTCCAGTTTTACAACAATCCCTAGTAGTAACCATTCCTAGGTCAAGTTATTAAAGAATCAGCCATGTGGCAGAAAATGAGCTTGTCTTAGGGATTCATAATACTTTACAACATAGATAGTCTTTTCTATTTTCTAAATAAACTGTGCACAAAAGTGTAATGAGTATAAGAATTGAGCAAAAATTATTCTTTGTTACCAAACACAAACATCCACCAAGTATCACATAACATCTAAGAATGAGTTGATAAAATCTCTTAGCTTTAGTCAATGGTATAGCTAATGAAGAGATTTTATTCATTCTGAGTTAAACTTTTAAACTAGTGGTAAGTTATTAATGTAAGAAAAAAGAAATTTCACTATCCAAATGTTGCATGTTAAAAAGTATTTTGACATTTAAAATAAAATGTTTTAATTTGGTAATGCAGTTGTGAAGGATTTTTGAAGGCTGAGATAATTATTTGATTGAAGTTTCCTCCAGCAGTGAAATCAACTGTGTGGCAAGAAATGGGGTGTTTCATTCTGTGTACAGGATAAGACCATCACAGTGTACTTAATTCTTATGAGATGGCAGTTGAAGCAAATCAGTGATTCCTGTCTATAGTAAATGATTTTTTTGTAGAATGTATTAGGAGAGGTCAGAACATTATTAGTGTAAGCAAAGAAATCATGAGGAACCCATCAGATTGTTACCTAGTAGGTACTAGCTTTACCTCACTATGGATATTTTTCCATTCTTCTCCATACATGGATGAAGTAAAATTTGTAACTATTTGTAATTTGGGTTTTGATCCAAAATAGTTTTAAAAGAATTTAACATATTAAGTGATGCTTACAAATGAAAGTGTTGCTTCAGAGAAAGAAGATCTTTTTCAGACAAGCAAATGCTGAGGGAATTTGTTACCAATATGTATGCCTTACAAGAGATCCTGAGGGAAGCACTAAATATGGAAAGGAAAGACCATTACCAGCCACTAAAAAACACACATAAGTACACAGACCAGTGATATTATAAAGCAGCCACACAGAAAAAATCTGCATAATAACCAGCTAACATGATGACAGGATTAAATGCACACATATTACTACTAACCTTGAATGAAAATGGGCTAAATGCCCCAATTAAAAGGCACAGAGTGGCAAGCTGCATGAAAAACCAAGACCCATTAGCATGCTGTTTTCAAGAGACCCATCTCACTTGCATGACACCAATAGGTGGAAAATAAAGGGATAGGAAAAATCTACCAAGCAAGTGGAAAACAAAAAGCATTTGTTGCAACCCTAACTTCACAAAACAGACTTTAAAGCAACAAGTATCAAAAAGAGAAAGGCATTACATAATAGTAAAGGGTTCAATTCAACAAGAAGACCTAACTATTCTAAATATATATGCACCCAACACAGGAGCACCCAGATTCATAAAGCAACTTATTAGAGACATTCAAAGAGACATAGATTCCCACACAATAATAGTGACAGACTTCATACCACCAAATGTATTAGACAGATCATCAAGGCAGAACATTTACAAAGATATTTAATACCAAATGTTAGCACTGAATCAAAAGGACCTGATAGACACCTGCAGAACTCTCCACCCAAAAGTAATAGAATATATATTCTTCTCACTGCCACATGGCACATATTCTAAAATCAACCACATAATTGAAAGTAAGACACTCCTCAGCAAATGCAAAAGAACTGAAATCATGAAAAACAATCTCTTGGACCACAGCACAATCAAATTACAAATTAAGACTAAGAAATTCACTCAAAGCAATACAATGACATGGAAATTGAATAATGTACTCCTAAATGGCTTTTAGGTAAATAGTGAAATTAAGGCAGAAATCAAGAAATTCTTTGAAACTAATGTGAACAAAGATACAACATACCAGAATCTCTGGGAAACAGCTAAGGCAGTGTTAACAGGGAAATTTATAGCACTAAATGCCCACATGAAAAAGTTAGAAAGATCTTAATTTAACAGCCTAATATTACAACTAAAAGAACTAGAGAACCAAGAACAAACCAACCCCATGTTAGCAGAAGACAAACGATAATCAAAAAGAGCTGAAATGAAGAAGATTGAGACATAAAATTCAAAGAATTAATGAATTCAGGAGTTGTGGGGTCTTTTTTTGAAAAACTAATAAAATAGAATTCTAGCTAGACTACTAAAGAAGAAAAGAGAGACTATCCAAATAAAAACAATTAGAAATGACAAAGGAGATAGTACTACTGACCCCACAGAAATACAAAAAACACTCATAGACTACTATGAACACTTCTATGCACACGAACCAAAAAATATAGAATAAACGAATAAATTCCTGGACACATATACTCTCTCAAGACTGAGCCAGAATGAGATTGAATCCCTGAACAGACCAATAACAAGCTCCAAAATTGAATCAGTAATAAATAGCTTACCAACCAGAAAAAGGCCAGGACCACACAGATTCACAGCTGAATTCTATCAGATATACAAAATAAAGCTGATACCATTTCTACAGAAACTATTCCAAATGATTGAGGAGGAAGGACTCCTCCCTGACTCATTCTTTTTTTTTTTTCAGTTTTTATTTTTATTTATTTAGTGTTTAAAGGTTACAGTTTTATTACCTTGGAGATTTATGAAGTAGTTGATTTTTTTTATTATACTTTAAGTTCTAGGGTACATGTGCACAAAGTGCAGGTTTGTTACATACGTATACATGTGCCATGTTGGCGTGCTGCACCCATTAACTTGCCATTTACATTAGGTATATCTCCTAATGCTATCCCTCCCCACTCCCCCCAGTGCTATCTCTCCCCACTCCCCCGCCACCCCCAACGACAGGCCCTGGCGTGTGATGTTCCCCTTCCTGTGTCCAAGTGTTCTCATTGTTCAATTCCCACCTATGAGTAAGAACATGCGGTGTTTGGTTTTTTGTCCTTGTGATAGTTTGCTGAGAATGATGTTTTCCAGCTTCATCCCTGTCCCTACAAAGGACATGAACTCATCCTTTTTTATGGCTGCATAGTATTCCATGGTGTATATGTGCCACATTTTCTTAATCCAGTCTATCATTGATTCTGTTTGCCAGTATTTTATTGAGGATTTTTGCATTGATGTTCATCAGGGATATTGGTCTAAAATTCTCTTTTTTTGTTGTGTCTCTGCCAGGCTTTGGTATCAGGATGATGCTGGCCTCATCGAATGAGTTAGGGAGGATTCCCTCTTTTTCTGTTGATTGGAATAGTTTCAGAAGGAATGGTACCAGCTCCTCCTTGTACCTCTGGTAGAATTCAGCTGTGAATCTGTCTAGTCCTGGACTTTTTTTGGTTAGTAGGCCATTAATTATTGCCTCAATTTCAGAGCTTGTTATTGGTCTATTCAGGGATTCAACTTCTTCCTGGTTGAGTCTTCCTCCCTAACTCATTCTATGAAGCTAGCATCATCCTGATAACCAAAACCTGGCAGAGACATGACAAAAAAGAAAACTTCAGGCCAGTAACCTTGGTGAACAAATCAAAAATCCTCAACAAAATGCTGGCAAGCCAAATCCAGGAGCACATCAAAAAGCATATCCTCCAAATTCAAGTGTGCTTTACCCTTGGGATGCAAAGTTGGTTCAACATATATAAATCAATAAATGTGATTCATCACATAAACAACTAAAGACAAAAACCACATGACTATCTCAATAGATGCAGAAAATGCTTTTGATAAAATTCAACACCCCTTCATGCTTAAAAAAAAACTCTCAATAAACGAGGTATTGAAGGAACATACCTCAAAATAATAAGAGCCATCTACGAGAAACTGACAGTCAACATCATACGGAATGGGCAAAAGCTGGAAGCGTTCCCCTTGAAGACAGGCACAGAAAAGTATGCCCTCTGGCACCTTCCTATTCAACATAGTGTTGGAAGTCCTGGCCAGAGCAGTCAGGCAAGAGAAAGAAATGAAGGGCATTGAGAGAGGAAGTCAGACGATCCCTCTTTGCAGACACCATTGTCCTGTATGTCGAAAACTCCATAGTCTTGGTCCAAAAGCTCCTTAAGCTGACAAACAACTTCAGCAAATTTTCAGGAAACAAAATCAGCAGACAACCCACAGAATGGGAGATAATTTTTGCCAACTATGCATCTGATAAATATCCTGAATCTATGAGAAACTTAAACAGATTTATAAGAAAAAAAGCATTAAAAAGTGGGCAAAGAACATGGACACTTTACAAAAGAAGACATACACGTGGCCATCAAGCATATAAAGAAGCTTAACATTACTGATTATTAGAGAAACAAAATCCTAATGAGATACCATCTGACACCAGTCAGAATGGCTATTATTAAAAAGTCAAAAAATTAACAGGCACTGATGAGGTTGTGAAGAAAAAGAAACACTTATATACTGTTGGTGGAAGTGTACATTAGTTTGATCATTGTGGAAAGCAAAGTGCAATTCCTTAAAGACGTGAAAAAGGATTAACATTCGACCCAGCAATTTTATTCCTGGGTAGATACCCAAAGGGATATAAATCCTTATATCATAAAGATAAATGCATGTATATGTTCATTGCAGCACTATTCACAATAGCAAAGGCTTACAGTCAACCAAACGGCCATCAATAGTAGACTGGATAAAGAAAATATGGTATATATACAGCATGGAATATTATGCAGCCATAAAAAATATTATGTCATTTGCAGGGAAATGGATGGAGCTGGAGGCCATTATCCTTAGCAAAGAAAAGCAGGAATGGAAAACCAAATACCACATGTTCTCACTTATATTTGGGAGCTAAATGATGAGAACACGTGGACACATAGAGGGGAACAACAGACACAACAGACAGTAGGACCTACTGGAAGGTAGAGGATAGGAGGAGGGGAATATCAGGAAAAATAACTAATGGGTACAAGGCTTAATACCTGGGTCACGAAATAATCTGTGCAACAAACCCCCATGACACAAGTTTACCTATATAACATACCAGCACATGTACCTCAAACTTAAAAGTTGAAAAAGAAAATGTCAGTTAGTCATTTGCTACCATACAATGACTTTTAAATACACAAAATTCTGATTGTTCAGAATCCAAAAAGCACTGTGCTTTCTTTTATTTTACCATTGTCTATTTTGATTTACTTTTTGTAAATTATGGTGGTAGTGTTTGTATGGACATAGCCAGTTGCTAAAAATTTATCTTGTATGAATATTTGTTTTCTGTTAGTGTTTTTTTTTTACCATAATGTAATTAATAACAAAAATCTTATCAGGGTTTTCCTTTGGGAAATAATTTACATATGTATTTTATATAATTTGCATGTATGTATTATATTTTATATAATTTACACATGTATGTATATAATATACATGCAGTACATAAAATATATGAAATATATGTATATATGCACATACATATATGTCATAGAATACGGTCTCTCTTGATTTTAAATCTTTATACTACACATGAGAGAATTTTTGACAGCAAATTTAAAATTTGAAAGTAAAAATAATTTTTGAAAAACTTTAAGGATGTGGAGGGGAATAAGAAAACCCATGATTCACATAGTTAGAAAACTGCTAGGTATAACATTTAAGATATTTGCAATATTTTGGCCTGAATATAGAATGTGACTTGTGAAACAACTGTAATCAATTACTACCTATATGGAAACATAATTATACACACTAATGTTTGTCATTGGTAAATATTTTATTGAAAATGTTTACTTCCTACATAATAGTGAAATTCACTTCTCTGTGCTGATGTAGTGTCCTGTTACATCAAGTGTATCATTTACTTATTTAAAAATTTTAAACAAACAAAAAATTTTAGTGACTCAAAAACCATGTTTTTCCTTCCTTACATCAAGTCTGTGTGGCTCTTGGTAACAATCCAAGACAACTATTTTCCATGTGAAGGCTCAGGGATGCTCTTCAGAATCGGCATGTTATTCATTTGGTACTTACGATTAAATGTATGATTCACTTGATACTTATGTTATTCATTTGATCTCACAAAGATCAAGAATGATATAAATTTCACTTGCATTTTATTGGTCAAAAAAATCATGTAATCTCAACCAAGCTGAAGTGGGTGGGTTTATATCCATTATGGTTCTGAAAGGAGAAAAACTGGAAAAAATGGGAAGTCACTAGTGCCTCAAACATCAGATGTCTTTGGTTCCAGTGGAATAGACAATTTATAGTAAATTCCAGGGTACGAAAAATTATATTTATGAGTTTTTTTAAAAAACAAGTATTATTTAAGGAAGGTATAATATTCATGGTCATTTATTTGACTCTGTGTTTGACTAGTTTTTGCTAATCAAACCAGTTTTGGTGATAATGCAGAAATGCAAAAAAAAAGTGTGTGTGTATACACATATATACACATGTGTGTATATATGTATGTATATACATACGTATATACATATATATGCATATATGTATATATACATATACGTATATACACATATGCGTGTATATATGTATATATGTGTATATACACACGTTTATATACAATTAACAATTCAATAATACCCATCTATTTTATCATTACAATTCTTATTTATTTAAGATTAGAAAGCACACTGGAGTCAGACTTTAAGTAGGAATTTGATTCAGAAGTCAGAGTGTAATGTGGAAAACCAGTGCAGCTTAAATTAATATTGATAATTCTTAAACTACTATGTACGTATATAGATGTATATATGTGTATATATATGTGTATATATATAGATGTATATATGTGTATATATATGTGTGTGTGTATATATATATATATATTCCTTGAAGTGGATATGAGAATTATTATGAGAGATTTTTATTACTTGATCAGGCATACTTTGTTCTTTATAGGAAAATATCTGTTAAATTACAAACGGGTCCCTCTGGGAATTACAAAATGGAAGCCATGTTTCAACAATGCTGACATATTCCATTTTCAGTGTATAAAAAGCACTTCATTACAACAATAATATAGATAGAGGATACCAGGAAGCACTGACACTAACCCTAAGATGATGCATAATCGCTATATGCTCTATGGTATATATCATCAACTAATGTAAGCTGACTGTAAACAAAACACTGGTTTTAAAGTCGGACATACATCAGTCGCCACCTAACCATAGATGTGTTACTATAGCTCTCTACACCTCAGAAGTTTCAACTATAAAATAAAAATAATTATTTATTTCCACAGTTACTGTGAAGATTAAACAAAATGACATATAAAGCTCTCATTACAGAGTCTAAAACATAGTAGACCTTCAATTAATATGTGTCATAACAGCATCATAACATACTTCAGTTGCCACTTAACCTTAGATGTGTTACTATAGCTCTCTGCACCTCAGAAGCTTCATCTATAAAAGAAAAATATTTATTTCCATAATTACTATGAAGATTAAACAAAATGACATATAAAGCTCTTATTACCAAATCTAAGACATAGTAGACTTTCAATTAATATGAGTCATAACAACTGGTAATATTTTATGAGAAATGTTTTTCTCACTTCTATGAAAGTTTTTGGCAAATGAACTTTAAAGATGCAACCTGCTTAGGTAGCTTATTTATATTATGCAAACTTTCTAAACTTATGTAAAGATTTAATGCTGATCCAGGCAAGAGAAAAATAAATATCAAACCTGCAGATAATCATATTAACTTCAGATTTTTGTTTTCATGTTATGAGAAAGGCCCTGCACCAGGGACTTAATGTATGTTATCTCATTCCATCATCCGAAAAATTCGTTGAGCCTGGTTTCATTTGTCTAATTTACACATTTGAAATCTGCAATATTACACTGTAGTACTAGTAGGCAATTAACAATTCAATAATCCCCCATCTATTTTATCATTACAATTCTTATTTATATTCTTTAAGATTAGAAAGTACACTGGAGTCAGACTTTAAGTAGGAGTTTGATTCGGAACTCAGAGCGTAACGTGGAAAACCAGTGCAGCTTAAATTAATATTGAAAATTCTTAAGCTACTATAAATTATTGCATGACAAGGAGGTCACATTCGTAGATGGACACTATGCAAGAAAGGGCTCAGGAGCTGAAATTGCAAAAGAAACTACAGATCTTTTCTCTTAGTTCCTTGAGGAGAGAGAGGTACATAGGGGAATAGTGAGTGTGACAGCACTATGCAATTTGTTTTCTCTTCCTCATTTCCTCCTTCCCTCTTCACTCTCTCCATTTCTCTTTCTTCTTTCCTTCGTCTTCTCTGCATGAGTTAGATATGTTGTCACTAGACAATATATTAATGATGTACCAAAATAAATTCCCTTGTGCAAATTGTAGAATATGTAAAATCTACTTCTGTATACTATTTTTAACAGTATATATTCCAAATGGAACCTAGCTTAATAGCTGGTTGTTAAGAATAGACAAATAAAAGAATTGTCACCATATCATTTTTTCATATCACTAAAAGTGATGGATCTTGTTGTTTCTTCTTCTAGTTTCACTTCTCTGCCTTCCCTCAACACTAATATTTTGTATCATTCATTGAAGTGATTATTTTAATGAATAGCAACCTATGAGAATCACTGAAATCGAAGTGAGTCCACTAAATATGCAACAAAGAGGTGGGAAATAAAATTGGGGTAAATACTGCCAAGTTGGCAGAAAGGAAAATGTATTTAGAAGCAATATGTTTAAATTTTCATAACCTTGTTCCAAATGAAAGTAGAAAAGCTCGTGAGCATCCTCAGCACATCAATAAAGAAGAATAAAACTGTCATTGAAGCAAGTATGAAAAGAAGCCCAATGAGATGTCATTTGTATTTTCTTTATGCTGCAGATTGACTTAACTTGTTTTATTTTTAAAGGCACATGAAAATTCCTAAGGATTTGCCTTAGTGTACTTTCAATCTTTCTTTCCCAACTTTATTTTTTTTATGAGGACTGAAGTTTATCTGTGAATTTTGAAATTTGATATTTTGGGCTTATTTTTGACAAGACAGGGAATATCGTCTAAAGCAGGAATCCAGCACTGCAATTTTTTCACAGAAAATCTAGGGCATATGGATGCTTTAGTCTGGTTTGGTGCTTCATTTCTGGTATTACATTGCCTTTGAAAACACTCAAACACTCAGCAGGTAAAACAGAATATGGCAATGGCCCTTATAAAAATCAGTCATCTGAGGGTTTTGGTTCTCGGTTTTCCACTGCTTCACAGTAAAGGGACTATGTAGGGAAAATTATTGTTTGGAATTCTATAAAACTTTAGTGAAATCTCATTCTTCATGACTTTTAGTGTGTAACAGTGAGGCCTTTAAAACATTAGTAGAAAATATAATTACCATGAGTATTAATACTCATATGTAGGTCTCTGATCCCTTGAAACCTCTCCACCTACATAGCTCTACTGAGTGTACACCTAATGATCTTTCTTCATTTACGTATTTTTCATTTATTTCTATTATTTTCTCTTACCTCCTTCATTCATGGTTAAGTGAGAGTTAAGATGCAGTAACTTCCTCTGAAATAAACTGTAAATAACAATGTGAAAATGAAGGACATTTCACACAATAAAATGTATGATTCAGAAATGTTCGCTTTAGTTCCATTCTCTGTAGAAGTTTTTCTCTTCAAACAGGTAAAATATATTAAAAGTCAGAACTAAAATATATTTCTGTATCTGTATAGTTGTTTCCTCTCTGAGTAAATTTAGAAAGTTTATTTCTGTTCTGACCTGTTCAGAATGTCTTCAAGCACAATGCTGGTTAATAATTTTATTTTACCTTCTTTCCATTTTTTCCCTTATTATGAAATAAATTTTCGTTAAAATGTATTACTGATATTAGTGTTTAGTATGAGAGAAATGTTCTGGGATGAAAAAATATCTTCAGGGAGTATTTTAGCAGAAAGGAATGAGTTTTAGGTGTTACTGCAGATAATGTTGAATTACTTTGATTTTCTTCTTAGGTTGAGTCACCCTTCAAAAAAATCTTTTGATAGGCATTGACATCTGCTAGAAGAGTGGCAAAATGTTGCCTGCATTTGATACGTCAAATGAACAAAGATAACTTTAGAGTATATACATTGTATACTCAGAGCAGTAACTGTCATATTATCTACTTCTTCTCTACCTTTTTTGCCCTTCACATTTATCCTCAAGAAAAGCCGATGTTTATTCAGCATACATTTACATTTCTTTGTCCTCTCACAGCATTGAGAATTGAAACTGCAGATTTATTAGATGATACCTAGAAAAATAAGGTTTACTTATTTATCTCATATAAATATATATCCACACATATATGCATAGACACACACCTATACAAATATAAATACACATACACAGGTACATACATATGTACACACATAGGCAAACATACACACATATGTGTGTGCTTATGTTTGTGTGTATAAAAATATGTGTGTTTTTATGCATGTTTGCATTGTATCTTGATAAATTGCAAAGAACAGTGATACAAATAAAAAGCGTGAATCCTACTTATTGGACAAACATGTTACGGTGTATAGCTCAAAATTTATTTTAAGATCATCTTGAGAAAATTTATGGTAGAGCTTATCTTATAACCAGATGGTGATGTTTTCTTAAAATATTCATCCATTAAATGTCTTAAATGTATACTACATATGAAACTAGAAGATTTACACATGTTCTCATTTATCTTCTTGACTATACGATAAGAAGGATAATTGAGGCTAAGAAATTAGGTAACTTCCTCAAGTAGCAAAGTTGTGGAGAATCTACTATGTTCCAGATACAGCCCAAGTTTTTAGGGATACAGCAGTAAACTAAACTGAAACAAAAATGCATTCTTGCTTTATGGAGCTTTTGATCTAGTTGAAGTTTATAGAAAATAAAGTGATATTTATAGTATGTTACATGGTAACAAGTGCTAAGGAAAACAGAAAAGGGTGATAGAATGACCTGGAAAGTTGGGTTGTACATTGAAAGTAATCAGGGAATGGATGTTATTTAAGATAAATAAGGCTAAGTGTCAAAACAGACAAAGCCTTGAAACTCAGTGTGTTACTACAATCAAGTGTTATCTTTCTGATTGTAGTTTAGCTGGCCCTCCTCCCTCTTCTCCTTACATCATCTTTTACACTTAGTATAAATTGTCACAAGAAAGCAGGAATGAAAGAAGCCCAACAGCACTTAATAGTTATAAACCTAGAAATGACAGGCATCCAACTATACAGTCCCTTGGACAGAACAAGTCACATGACTTCAAAATCACTATCAGGAAAGCTGGGAAATGTAAGAGAGGACATGGGATATTTGATTATACTAATTGTCTCTTCAAGAGAAGCCTTCATGAATAAGATATTTGAGCTAAAAGTAAAAAAAAATTATATTTTAACATGAAAGCATATAAATAGAAACTATTAAAGGCATTTTGGGTCAATGATCAATATTGTATATTTTATTGAATTTTTCACAAGAACAAAACTTCTAATGATTTCAAGTTCATATATTATTTGCTTTGTTCTAAAGCCAGAAACACTTGGTTCTAAAGTGTGTCCTTTTAAAATTGTATAGATGCCCTTCAAGTTTCCTAGCAGAAAAAATAATATAGCGGGGCAGCAGAAAAATCAAGAGAAAATAGATAATAGGTATTAAATCTACTTAAAGCATCATTTTAAACTGCCACACATCTCTTGTAGTAGTCACTACCAGGGTGACTATGAAGAACTTTTTCCTATGCAAAAGAAGTAGAATATACTCTGTTGGAGGCATAATTTATAGAAAGGATGCTACTGACGCTCCTAAGTAGTCACTTCAGCACTAAGTCAATTTATCTAGATGTAATTAGATGGGATTTTTCTCAGAATTCATCATTTAATTTACTGACCAATATTTGTAGACTTTGCAAATAACAGGAACCCTTCTATTACAGTACAGAATAATTAAAAATGAGTCGTATATGATTTATTTTACTGTTATTTTTAATCAGGGCTTTAATAAGGAAGAACCTAAATTAGATTGTTTTTATAACAATAGAAAGAGCAATGAAATATTCTCTCTACATCTCTCTTCTCTCCTCCCCCATGCCCAGAGAATTGCAGATGAGAGGATATTCAGATAACCATTGATTGAATGACCTTGCTATTCTATAGAATGTCAAAATAGATGCCTACATTGTATTGAGAAAGAAGCAAAAATATTTCTGAGCACCTGCTATCCTATTCCTATCAAAGGGCGTGTGGAGGAGGAAGAAAGGTGATATGCAATAAAATCTAGAGTTTAGTATTTAGTTTTCAATTTAATTCGTTAAATACTGGGTATAGACTCCATGGAAAAGACAGTAGCAAAGGTTTCGGGAATGAAGTCATTGGAAATTGACTCTGCATTGAGAAAACTTACATTTACTGTAAATTAGGCCAGAAGTATATAATGAATTATGACAAAAGTCAAAGTTTCTTATATAGAGAAAGAGTACACACAAATGACTGGGAAGAGGAAGAAGAATACCTTTAGGTTTTCGGAATCAAGAGAAATATCAAGAATAATATAGAAACATGGCAAGCAATCTTGAAAAACAATTAGAATGTTACTTGTTAAAATGTATGGAGGCAGAAATATAGACACCTACTCATTTTATTCAATGTAGGGGGAAAATAAACTTTCAATGTCTTACACGTATCTACTAAATAAAGACTTTATTACTTCTTTGAAAATGCCTATCATCTCTTTAACCTTCTCTCTGAAATGATTTACTACTACAAACAAGGCAGCCTACACATTAGTCTCTTTGCAAATCACATTTTTTTTAATTCTTTTTTTCCTTTTATAAGATATTTTTAAAAGTCAGGAAACAACAGATGCTGGAGAGGATGTTGAGATATGGGAACACTTACACTGTTGGTGGGAGTGTAAATTAGTTCAACCATTGTGGAAGACAGTGTGGCGATTCCTCAAGGATCTAGAACCAGAAATACCATTTGACCCAGCAATCCCATTACTGGATATATACCCAAAGGATTATAAATCGTTGTACTATAAAGACACATGCACATGTATGTTTATTGCAGCACTATTTACAACAGCAAAGACTTGGAACCAACCCAAATGCCCTTCAGTAATAGACTGGATAAAGAAAATGTGACACATATACGCCATGGAATACTATACAGGCATAAAAAATGAATTCATGTCCTTTGCAGGGACATGGATGAAGCTGGAAACCATTATTCTCAGAAAACTAACACAGGAACAGAAAACCAAACAGCACATGTTCTCACTCATAAGTGGGAGTTGAACAATGAGAACGCATGGTCACAGGGAGGGGAACATCACACAGTGGGGCCTGTCAGGGGGTAGGGGGAAAAGGGAGGGATAGCATTAGGAGAAAAACCTAATGCAGATGACGGGTTAATGGGTACAGCAAACCACCATGGCACATATATACCTACGTAACAAACCTGCACGTTCTGCACATGTATCCCCGAACTTAAAGTATAATTTTTAAAAAATAGAAATATATATATATATATATATATATAAGGTTCAGAGGTATATGTACAGGTTTGCTATGTAGGTAAATGGAGTGTCATGGGGGTTAGATGTACATATTATTTTGTCACCCAGCTAATAAGTACAGTACTCAACAGGTGCTTTTTCAATCCTCACCCTCTTCCTATCATCCACCCTCAAGTAAGCTCCTGTTTCTGTTGTTCCCTTCTTTGTGTCCATGTGTACTTAATGATTAGCTCTCACTTATAGGCGAGAACATGTGGTATTTGGTTTTCTGTTCCTGTGTTAGTTTGTGCAGGATAATGGCCTCCAGCTGCATCCATGTTGCTGCAAAGGATATGATCTGATTCTTTTTTTTTTGGCAGCATAGTATTCCATGGTGTATATTTACTTTGGAAATATACATACTTTCTTTATCCAGGCTATCCATATACTTTATCCAGTATATCCATACTTTATCCAGGCTACCATTGATGGGCATTTAGGTTGGTTCCATGTCTTTACAATTGTTAGTAGTGTTGAGAATGAACATACACGTGCATGTGTTTTTATGCAGAACTATTTATATTACTTTGGGTATATACCCAATAATGCGATTGCTGGATCCAATGGTAATTCTAAGTTCTTTGAGAAATCACCAAACAGCTTCCCAAAATGGTTGAACTAATTTACATTCCCTCTAGCAGTGCAGAAGCATTCCCTTTTCTCCACAACCTCACCAGAATCTGTTATTGTTTGACTTAACAATAGCCATTCTGGCTCATGTGAGATGGTATCTCACTGCGGTTTTGATTTGCATTTCTCTAGTGATTAGTGATGTTGAGCATTTTTATTTGCTTTTTGGCCACGTGTATGTTTTCTTTTGAAAAGTGTTCATGTCTTTGCCAACTTTTTGATGGGGTTGTTTGTTCTTTTCTTCTTTTCTTGTAAATTTAAGTTCCTTTTGGGTTCTGGATATTAAACCTTTATCCAATGCATAGTTTGCAAAAATTTTCTCCCATCTTGTAGGTTGTCTGTTTACTCCGTTGATAGTTTCTTTTGTTGTGCAGAAGCTCTTTAATTTAGTTAGGTCTCATTTGTCAATTTTTGCTTTTGTTGCAATTGCTTTTGGCATCTGTGTCATGAACTCTTTGCCAGGTTCTATGTTCAGAATAGTATTTACTAGGTTATCTTCCAGAGTTTTTATAGTTTTTGATTTTAGATTTAAGTCTTTAGTCCACCTTGAGTTCATTTTTGTATATGTTGTAAGTAAGGGTCTAGTTTCAGTCTTCTGCCTATGGCTAGCCAGTTATCCCAGCACTATTTATTGAATAGGAAGCCCTTTCCCCACTGCTTGTTTTTGTCAGGTTTGTCAAAGACCAGATGATTGTAGGTGTGTGACCTTATTTCTAGGTTCTGTATTCTGTCCCATTTGTCTATGTGTCTGTTTCTTTACCAGTGCCATGCTGTTTTGGGTACTATACCCTTATAGTATATTTTGAAGTCAGGTAATGTAATGCCTCCAGCTTTCTTGTTTTTGATTAGGATTTTCTTGGCTATTCAGGCTCTTTTTAGTTCCATATTAATTGTAAAACAGTTTTTTTCTAATTATTTAAAGAATGCCATTGGTATTTGATAGGAATAGTATTGAATCTGTAAATTGCTTTGGCCAGTATTGCCATTTTATTGATATTGATTCTATAAGCATGATTTTTAATTTGTTTGTGCCATCTCTGATTTCTTTTTGAGCAATGTTTTGTAATTCTCATTGAAGAAGTCTTTCACCTTCATGATTAGCTGTATTCCTAGGTATTTTATTCTTGTTGTGGCTATTGTAGATGGGGTGGAATTTTTGATTTGGTTCTCAGCTTGGATGTTGTTGATGTATGGGAATACTACTGATTTTTATACATTGATTTTGTATACTGAAACTTCTCTGAAGTTGTGTATCAAAACAAGAAGCTTCTGGACAGAGACTATGGGGTTTTGTAGATATAGAATCATGTCATCTGCAAATAGGAATAATTTGACTTGCTCTCCTCCTATTTGGATGTCTTTTACTTCTTTCTCTTGCCTGATTACTCTGGCTAAGATTTCCAGTACTATGTTGAGTAGGAGTGGTGAGAGAGGGCATCTTTGTCTTGTGCCAGTTTTCAAGAGGAATATTTACAGCTTTTGCCCATTCAATAGGATGTTGGCTGTGGCTCTTACTATTTTGAAGTATGTTCCTTCAATCCCTAGTTTGGTGAAGATTTTTAACATGGATGTGAATTTTATCAAAAGCCTTTTTTGCATTTATTGAGGTGATTATGTGTGTTTTTTTTAGTTCTGTTTATGTGGTGAATCAAATTTATTTATTTGTGTATGTTGAACCAACCTTGCATCCCAGGTGTAACGCCTCCTTCATCATGGTGGATTAGCTTTTAGACGTGCTCCTGGATTCGGTTTGCCAGTATTTTGTTGAGGATTTTTGCATTGATGTTCACCGAGGATATTGTCTTGGAGTCTTCTTTTTTTTGTTGTTGTATCTCTGCCAGTTTCTGGTATCAGGATGATGTTAGCCTCGTAGAATGACTTAGGAAGGAGTCCCTCCTCCTCAGTTTTTTAGAATAGTTTCAATAGGGGCTGGGCGCTGTGGCTCACGCCTGTAATCCCAGAGGCGGGCGGATCATGAGGTCAGGAGATCGAGACCATCTTGGCTAACACAGTGAACCCCCTTCTCTACTAAACATACAAAAAATTAGCCAGGTGTGGTGGCAGGTGCCTGTAGTCCCAGCTACTCGGGAGGCTGAGGTCAGAGAATGGCATGAACCCGGGAGGCAGAGCTTGCAGTGAGCCGAGATGGTGCCACTGCACTCCAGCCTGGGCGACAGAGACAGACTCCATCTCAGAAAAAAAAAAAAAAATAGTTTCAGTAGGAATGGGACCAGCTCTTTGTTATACATCTGGTAGAATTTGGCTGTGAATTCATCTGGTCTTGGGCTCTTTTGGATTAGTAGGCTTTTTACTACTAATTCAATTTTGGGACTCATTACTGGTCTGTTCAAGGATTCAGTCTCTTCCTTGTTCAATCTTGGGAAGTTATATGTTTCCAAGCATTTATCAATTTTTTTTTCAGTTTTCTAGTGTGTATGCATAGAGGTATTCATAATAGTCTATGAGGTTTTTTGTATTTCTGGGGGGTTACTTCTTGATTGCCCCCTCTAGTGCTCAAGAATAATCTTCACAATGTCCCAGGAGTCAGCTTTTAGCAGTAAAGTGTGAAGAAACTGGGGCAGAGATTCACAGAGCTGTTAAAAGCCTATCTAAATGGGACATCAACAGTGTCTCCTACCTGTCTGACCTGTTCTGTGAGACAGAATTAATTTCAATCTTTCTTTTTTGTTCTTTTAATGTAATGGTTGGCATTTAATGTGTACTTTTTTATATTATTGTTATTCACCTACTAGATGTATTATGTAAGATACTAGATTCCTTTAGCAGTTGATTTTATATATAGTTAAATTTTGGTGAATAATTGTGTATATATTATGTGCTAAGTGGATGGATAGGCCAAAAATCAATAGAGATGATTGCTGCTCTTGAGACTTTACAGTCTATAATGTGCACTATTTGAAAGGGATAGGATAAGCAACATGGAAAAGAGGAAGAACCTAGAGGCTTCAGTATCAGATCTAAGATTAAATCTGGATTCCACTACTTTCTAGTTGGATGACCATAGACAAGTAACCTAGTGCAATGAAATATTCCCTAAATCTGTTTCTTCATTTATGAAAAAAAATTTAAATATTTTAACAGTGTTTTTATAATACCATCCTCATATGATTCATGGCAAGTTTTAGTTAATGTTCTTTCCCTCTTTTCAAATTTCTTTAAATATTGAGCACAAGGATTTGTACACGTATATTTACAATGCAAATTATTAATACATGAGACTCATGAGTAGAGAAACGGAGGAAGAAAGGAGCTCTGAATACATTCAGTGAATATTCATTAGTAGAGTTGAGTAGAGAATAAGGGATAAATAGCAATATTAATATATCCCTAACATATAAATTTTGAGATAAAGTTATGTAACCTGTACAATTCCAGTGCAGACTGTTTATGTTTAGTTTGATACATTACAGGGAATGTTCAAAGTTCTTTTAGAAAATCAATTCAAAGTCATGGTAAGATGTGATCACATCTGGAAGATAAGGAAAGTGGTGAAACATTTGGGTCCTAGAGGTTCTTTGACATTTGTTTTTTCTGCTGGAATATAGTGTCAGAAGTGGATATGCTATGGGGAGCCCACATTTTTATGGTCACTTACTAGTGGTCACAGGCAACTTAAGCACAACTTCTAGTGCCAGTTCTCTCCTTCCTACTCTGGATGCTCCAGTTTGTTAAGGGTGTGTATTGAAACCATGTCTGAAAACCGATAATATAGGAGATGCTTGTAAAATCTCAGTGAGAAAATGGTAAATCGTAACAGTGAAAGACAGCAAAAGACAATAATACCAGAAAGGAAGATCAAGCTGCAGAAATCACACATCAATTGTATTTTGTCTATCTTTTGGCCCTTTCTTGGAAAAATTAAATTATATGTATGAACAAAAACATATATGGCGTCAAGTGTATTTCCCTGTCTTCTGAATATACTGTGAATATACATTACCACAGTGATCAAGAGAGCCCGTCGTACCCTTTGAACACTATCTTCTGGCAGATAGCTCTAATGCAAAACCAGCCTATCTGTTCCTGGGGGTCCTATGAGGTTGCCAAAATCCCCAGTGTAAACACAATGGGATGTACAGCAATATTCTAAATCTATCTCCTATTCATCAGAGTGGTAATTGAGACACAATGTATTTTCAGTGAGGAGTATATAAATGTACAGTCATTTTTAATGCAGATAGATGCATAGGTAAACAAACATACATATATGTATTTAAAATAACTTTTATTGTGTTAATACTAAACGTTTTTAATTGTTTCTTCACTTTTTTTCTTCCAGCAAAGGGACCCTGAAATATATGTTAAATGTAATCACAAGGGGAAATGCAGACCATCAAGTCAGAGAGGCTTTCCCCAGTGGGTTTATTTTTGGTAATTAACCTTCTAGAATCTTCTTGATTTTGAAGCCTCTGTTATGACCTATTATGCTTTCTGCTCAAAACAGCAACTCAAAATATTCAGGGTTTTAGTCACCTCTCATTTCTATATTTTAGACTGTGGTACTCATTAATTATATACAACTCATGTAGATTTGTGGTTTACAGTTTTTGTTAATGTAGATGCCCATCACTGGTAACACAAGTGACTTTTTAAAAAATGAAAATATGGCTTGCCTGAAAATCTGCAGAGTAATTGTTTATCACTTATAATGAGATCATTAAATTCAACTATATTTTTTGCATGAAAGAGTGCTGGCAATTTAAATTAAAGCTTGTTCTAAAGTAGCATGATACCGTATTATAAATGAATCAGAATGTGGCCTGCATTTAGAGCAAGAAATTCAGTTTTTAGGTACTGAGACAATGTGCACATGGGTTATACACCCCATATTTAATTTTTTTCTACTTCACATTGCTCCAAATGTCCTCATTAAATAATTTCCTACGTTTTAAGGCCAATATTTCTTATACTACATGCATACATACACATGTACATTTAATTTACTGAGTGACACAAAAGTGCTCGAATGATTCAGAACCCAAATCAGAATTAGGGGAGCCTTTACTTGTAAAGCAGCAGTTCTCAAACTTTAGCAGGCATTGGAATCACCTACTGGGTTTGTTAATACTCAGATTGCTGGGTCTCATTCCCAGAGTCTCTGATGCAGTAGGTGGGGCAGGATCTGATAATCTGTACATGTCACCAGTTTCCAAGGGTTGTTGATGCTGCTGGTCCAGGTTGCACTTTGAGAACCAGTCTTCAGAGGCATCTCACTAATTGTCTCATCTAGTCCAATCCTCAATTATTCTCACTTAGACAACTACAGTAGCATCCTAACTTGTTTTACTACTCCCAATTATATCCGCCTTCAGTCTGTTATTCACAATGCAGCCGGAGAGTTTCTTGTAAAACATATGGCAGATTATGTCTGTCTAATTGCTTCATGCCAGCCTTACAACAAAATTCTAGTTCTTAACTTTTGCCTGTAAGATTTATCTTATCTGGCCTTTGGATCCCTGTTCTATCTCATTTCCCATCCTTTTCCCTATGATTTGCCCTGTTCCAAGTTTATTAGCTTTCTTGATTTTTCTTGACTGACTCTGCCAAGCATGTTCCTGACTTAGGGCTTTTGCAGTCAATGTTTTCCTTTGTCTAGGATGATCACCCTTTTACTGACAAAAAGTTTGTATGGATTCCTCTCTCACTTTGTCTACATCACTCCCCATACGGGCTTTCTCTGACCATCCTATCTAACATAGAACTTTATATTTGGCTTTAACGTTTCATTTGTAAAATGGATCCCCATCCCCAAATGCATGCTTCTTGAGAATATGAAATTTGTGTTGTTTACTGCTATAACCCTACTGCTAAAACAGTCTTTGACACTTAAGATGTATTCAATAAGTATATATTGAATGAATAAGTGAATGGATGGATAGAAAATGTTCCTTTTCCTGCCTTCTCTTCCTTGTAGTACAGACAATTCTTTTGTCTGCAAATTGCTTTATTTTTCTTGCTACCAGGCCCTCCTGGATTCTTTGCTCATGTGAAGATCCTCTTAGTCAATTTCCCCATATGCACCTTACCTCCAACCTTCCTCTATCTAAATTAAATCTTTGGTGATTTACAAAATGTCTAAATATGCATACAAACACATACACGCACACACATGCATGGTTGAGAATATTTGACTTTCATTTTAGGATCCCTAATTATTATATATGTCTTATGTGTGGCTTGTAGATTTTAAATAAAGTGGTATTCCAAACTGATATTCTGCTCATTAGACTATTAACAGTGAACTACTAACACAGATAGCACATTAATTGCCAGACTGAGGTTTGTTTCTTTTGTGTGAAAATAATTCAGTTCTAGAGCCAGAAAGATGCCTGCAAAGTACCCTGTAACTCTTCAGTCAGAACATGTCCTCTTTTGCATGCGTTCCTCTCGATCACTGCTGGTATCAAAGAGTGTTCTCCAAATAGCCAGACCATATTGTGGCATACCCATCAGAAGATACTTGAAATTGTGTTTTTGACATCAAATTCCATAAGGAAAATACAGGCATACTTCATAACAATTATAGACTCAGATTATAATTTTCTTTCTATATCCAAGAGCTTTTACTCTGATATATCTTCTCAAGCAAATGTTCTGATATCCGAACTTGACCACCTTTTTTCTCCACTCTTCAATAGTAATTTAATCCCCTCGTCTCTAAAAAAAAAACAATTTAAATCTCTGATTTTGATGTCTTTCACAACTTCAGCCCCATATTTTCTAGTGGTTATTTTCTCTAGACTATCCAAGTAGTTCATCAAACTCTAGCCCAAACTGAACTTACCATCTTTTGCTAAATAAGCTCATATTCATTACCCTAGTTCTGGTAAAAGCACAGTTATTCTTTCACCCATAAACATAGCATTAGGGAAATATAAAGAGCCATGTAGGTGCAATTTTTAGGACTAATTGAAGAGTATTTGAGTAGTATATGTAAATATATGACATCTAATGGTTATATATTTGCTCTACCATCAAAGTCATGTAATTTTCATAAGGATCAAAAAGAAAACTATGAATATTTTAGCGTAACTCACTTGGTGATAATTCAGTTTACACAATTCCATTCAGCATTTTTTATTCACACTGATATGTGCACATCATATTACCAGAAATATAAATGTTCTAATCTCTTTTAATCATATTTTAAGCATTTTTGTTGTGACTTCTTTTGCATTCAATAATTACTTGAATATTGTATCATATCAATATGTCTTTTTTTAATTTTTTGTTCCCTGGTAATTTTTCATTATCTATGTCTCTCCAATGGCCTGGCAATCTGTAGGGGATAGCGGGGGCCTGGGGGCAGAGGGAGAAGAAGAGTATATCTTTCCTCCCTCCTTTTTTTTCTTACAAGAACTTCATCTAGTTCAGAATTATTTGAGATATATAACAAAAGTAACCATTATTGTTATAAGAAGAAGTAACTCTTAGTACACAATGGTGGGCCAAGACCAGAGATGGTGACCCATGGGTCCCTTCATATCATAATCCCTCTCCACTTCTGTTTTTAGCCTCCAATTCAATTGCCAAAGTCCATAGAGTCTGACTTAATATTTCTCTCTCTTCTCCCTTCCTAAACATTACCAATGTCATCAACCTGCATTACGTCCTAAAATCTTTCAAAGCCTCTTACATAGTCACTAGATAATTATCTATGTAATATTCCTGTAAATTATATTTTCTGGAAATAAATCTCTTTCTTAAGAGCAGTTCTAATAGTGTTGACTTTCCATTCCATAAATTTAATGACTCCCCATTGCTTATAGTTTTATGTAAAATTTTCTTGCTTTGATGTTTTGTGCATGACGTCAAACTGAGCTTCTGTCTTTATGCCCCATACTCTCCCTGATATTTTCTTTCTGTTCTATTTGAAATGAACTATGCCCACAGATCTCTAATGCACTGTAGGCTAACATTTTCATATTGGTATATATGTTTGTGTTATATCCTTAAGGTAGATTGTCACTTTCAAGGTTCTTTCTTATAAATGATTATCACGTCTTTAACATTATCAGCCCTCATTCAAGACCCTGTTAAGTACAACCTCTTACATGAAATCTATCTTTACCTCACCTTCCCCAGCCTGATATAATGTTCTTTATTTTCCTTTGAACCACCATGACTTGTTGACAATCTACATTAGCAATTACCTTTTATTTTGCATATATGATATAAGCACTAATATATGTGCTATCGTTTTCCACCTTTTTATCCCACATTTGCCTCCAGTCCCCTAAAAGTCAGTAATAATATCTTACTTACTTTTATGTCTAGAAACATGATGTTGTTTAATTTTTGGAATTAGCCCTGTGTTCAGACACAGTTAGTGTAAATTACTGTTAGGTAAGTATAGACTAGATTTCTGTAAACTATATGCTAATGCAAGACTCTGTGATACCATGATTGAAAATGTTACATATATGATGTCTTAAATTATTCAACTGTTAAAAAAAATTAAAAATCCAAGACAATTTCTTCCCCAGTGATATGCACATATAGCCATGTAGTCGTGTATTCTTTGGATATATTCGTCTTTTTCATTTAAGGCAGATAATTTGGTCCTATGATCCCAGTGTCCAGTTTGGAATATTAGATTAGCATGAACTGACTGAAGTGCTAGCTATTCAAAATAAGAATGATGCAGAGCAGATGGAAGAGCCAAAAGCATAGAGCGTGTAACATCCGTGAATTATATCCAGATCAGTTACCAATCAGATTCTGGGCTCTATTCAAGGTGTTGACTTTGATCTTTTTCCAGTTGTAAATGTTTCATCCAAAAAAACTGTGATTTTGGCATAACTTTTTTCAAGAGTTGCCCAGGACAAAAATGACAGGGTTACCCACACTAAAACTATAGCTCCTTATAGCCCTGGTAGTCCATATATGATGAGAGAAACCCCCAAATTCAGATTTCTAACCTACAATATTAGAAATACATGTTTTAAATCCTAGCATTTTCTTGTGAATTTCAGGTTATAATAAAAGCCTGTATGTTTTTCTGAGATAGCTTAACAGTTATTGACTCTAAATACACAATGCCTTGGACAGGAGCCATCTTAAGATCTGTGATAAATGACACAAATATAGAAGCTAAAATGTGAGCTTACCTCTGTGAAGAATCCATATGTTTGGGCATGTTTTTTTTTAATCGTTCTCATTGTCTTACCAAAATAACTCTGTTATACCTAGTGTAGGACACTATTATATGTGTTATCCATATTTGTGTACTTTCCAGAAGATCTGTGCTTAAATTATCTTTGTGCTATTTAGCTATGTTGTGACATTACTTCACGATGGTGCTGCATCTATTTGTGACATCATTTCGGTGCACATGACTCTATGTTATAGGCCCTTATTTTTCTGCTGTTTCTCATTATCCCAGTGCCTGAATTTTGTATGCTCATAATTAAAGGAAAACAATATAGTTATGGAGACACTCTGGATACAACATGTGCTGCCCCAGTGATTGCTGAGGCCAATTTGGCTGACGTGGTAGGCCTGGCACTCATATTTCTCTCTCTCACATCTCCATGAGGGATTCTTTCTTGAGCCAAAATGTATGCAGCTTCCAACTGTGAATCAGTTGTTTGGAACTTATGGCAGTTAAGTTCCTGGGTCATCTCACAAAATGCTGTGTAGCCATAATATAATTGATGTAGTGCAGATAATTACCTAGTGCAGATAATACTAATATGGTATTTCTTCCCAGATGAATCTGGGTGGTGGTAGGATTAGTGACTGAGGAGGGAGTGATAGAATACTTCTGGAATTGCCAAATGAATATTTTGGAGATAAATTCTCAAAACTATCCACTTTTGTTTCCTTGGTATTTTCACACTTTTTTGTTTTGTTCTGAGAATGAATATATGGATATCTTATAGCTCTTAGATAATTTATATTTAAAGGTGTCATGAATATAACAGAATGTTTTCTGGTAGAGAGAATAGAATAGTAGAAGTAAAGCATTTTTATTTTAGTTGTTGAGATAATCTGTTTATGACATCTGTAGGACCACCGAATACAATAATTGGGAAGCATAACTTGTCTGTTTCTCTTTCTTTCTGCATTTTCTTCAGTCCAGTTAATTTTTACACATCCATGAAAATTGGACACTGTGATGTGGGGTGACACAATTGACCTAAATGAATTTAGGGGAGGAGGACATGGAGTCTTTTGGAGGAAAATAAAGACCCACAAATAAGAATGTGGCCCTATTTGAACTGCCAGATTCTTCACTTTCTCAGTGTCCACTGATGGAGGTCACTTTCAAATTTTGGTGTCTGCTAGTGACAAGTTGTGTATATTATTACTTGTAGCTATAACTGTCTAACATATGGTTTATTATAACTTTGTCGACCTTTAATGGTTTCTGATTGTATGAAACATACTAGTTACTTCCATAATGATATAATTTCAATAACTAGGTTTTATTGATTATTTATCATTCGATATTCTTGTTTCTAAATGTGTCTTAGAGAAGAGGTACTGAATTTGGGAAGGAGCACCAGACTGACAGCCAGGATATTTTGCTTCTGGTCTTGACTTTTTTTATTTATTTGTTATTTATTTTATTTATTATATTTATCAGAGAGGAATGTCTGTCTCTGTGTGTATACATGTGTGCATGTACATACACATGCACACATACATCCACACATGCTTTGCTAGTCAGATAGCAAAATAAACAAATAAATAAATAAATGTAAAATAAATTTTATTATTTATTTATCATTACCAGGAATAAGCCATTAAACTTATTTATTTTCTATTTTATGTGTACAATGAGAGATTTTTAAGTAGTGTCCACAACGAACAATGACAAATACCAAGTATTTACTACCTATTGTGTGTCAAGCACTGTTATCAGGTTAATAGATTACAATCCTATGAAGTGCACATTATTACATAGTTTTTGGAAAAGATTTCTAAATATCAACTTTAGAAAAATATTGTTCTTATTTTGATAGTCTTTCGGGAAAAAAAGCACTTGTAAAGAAATGTTTATAGGCTGTTAAATCTTAATTTGGGATATGACTTATTCCAATGAATTTTAGAAAATAGAAGATAACAGACCAGACACAGTGGCTCACACCTGTAATTCCAACACTTTGGGAGGCTGATGGGGAAGGATCTTTTGAGCTCAGAAGTTCTAGACCAGCCTGGGCAGCACAGCGAGACTCCATCTCTACAAAAAATTTTTTAAAAATTAGCCTGGTGCGGTGACGTGCATCTGCGGTCTCAGCTACATGAGAGGCTGAGGCAGGAGGATCTCCTGAACCCAGGAGGTTGAGGATGCAGTGAGCTGAGATTGGGCCACTACACCCCAGCCTAGGTGACAGAGCGAGACCCTGTCTCGAGAAATAAAATAAATAAATAAAAGAGAACCAATTGCTTTGCTCCCGTAACAAAAGGATGAATATGCACAGGAAGAAAGGATGTACTGAGGATAACCACCAAAGTTACTTCCTGATCTAAACACTATGTATGTTTAAGAATTAACATAGTGAATCTCAATTTCAATCAGGCTGCCCTTTAAAATAATGGAAAACTTCATGTATGAATAGTTCATGATGCAATATGTCAGCCCGCTAACTAGATCCGTACCATCCATGTCTGTGCTTTACTGACCATGTCATTTTAGTTCCTTAACATACGAGATGATTTTCTAAATTGAAAAACCAGGTCATCCTGTGAACAAGAGATGTCTCGTAATAGCCATTTTACACAGCGCCAACTCTAGCTATAAGAATAGGACTCCATGGCTCCATACATTAATTTAAGATACTGAGAAAAGTTTTTTATCTAAGTGCATATTCAAAGGGGCATAGCAAAGTTAAATGTGACAGTAATTGTCAATCGAATGCTATCTGACTTGCAAAGTGTGTGTGGGTGTATGTGTGCACGTGTATGTACATGCACACACATACACACACAGAGACAGACATTCCTCTCTGATCATCAAGGTTTAAGTCATATTCCCTAGTCTGACTTGGCATCCATCTAAAAGATGGAATTTCTGGTACTGTGGGCTTCCCTAAGTCCTCAGTTTTTTGTGGCAGCTGTTACCTCTGTATGACTTCTGGAAGCTGCCTCAGGCACAACACAGAAAAGAGTTCCAATGTGAAGGTAATTGCTGATTTAATATTGGAGCTACTTTTAAAATGATATATGTACTTTAGGAAATTTTTTATTAATGCAACAGTTTTTTTGTAACAATGCAATGCTTATTATGATAAGTAGGTTAAGAGGTATTCTCTTTACCTTCATATATGCTATAGAATGATCATGAGAGAACGTCTCCTGTTCTACAGTCTTCCCATGGGCATATTTATCTCACAATAGCTTGAAAAAATTATCTCCTTAGGTACAGAAATCCCAAGTATGATACATATGTTTTCCAAGTGGCAAATTTCATATACATAATAAAGCACTAAGACATGCCTTAAAATTGATATTAGGAGACGAGTGTGTCAACTGTATGTGCATCTCTAATATTTATAATAAAATGCCTAGCCTTTTATTATATATGAAACAAGAGTTAATTGTATGGAACACTTGTAAACCTCAAGTAAAGTTGTAAAGGTAATAAAACCTGGAAACCTTGAAAAAAGCCATAATTTTAATTAGGACGTTTTCTTAATTTTAATAGCAGTCAGTTTCATTTTTAAGGAATACATAGAAGAGTAAAATGTTCTCAGTAAAATATTTTGGAACATCAGTTGAACTAGATTATGAAACAGTGGTGACCAAAGAGTCTAAGATGTGCTTTGGCTTAGTAAACATCAGCACGATAAAGCCACAGATAATGTTATAAAGAAGATATATGGAAATCCCTGGTCTGAGAATGGCTTCTCTTCTATATAAGCAATGAAGGCAAGAACAAGAAATGGCCAAAGATAGAACTTCATGACATATTATTAGAGACTTTTCTCTGGGTTTGCTTATTTTATTCATTGGTTCATTCATTTATCGATTTATGTCATTAACATTTATTGAGTCCTATTATATGCCAAACACCAAGCAAATTTTAGTTAATATAATTCATTTTTTCAACACACTCATTGAAAAAAACAATCATTTATTCTATGCTGATACTAAGTTAAAGGCTGTATTTATTTTCACAACAAAACCATTTGAAATATTATTGCTCACATTTTAGCCTTTAGGAAATTGACAGAGTGGCAAAATAGCTTACTAAGATCACAGAGCTACAAAATACTTGAGCTTGAATATTTACTTCTACATTCATGATTTTGCCCATACACTGTGATGTTTGTGCATTTTAATGTTTTCCCAACATCTGAGATTGTGAAAGGCAATGGAGATAATGGAGGAACAACTTATGAATGCAGTTATGTTTCTTCCTGAAATACCTTCACTTTTATAATCACTTCATCCATCCATTGCCTGGCTGAATTCTGTACAAATTTTGGAATGAGATGCCAAAGTGACAGCCCACCACCCTCAGGACTTTAGGCTTGGAATGGGCAGAAAGGAGCCAGGTTAATCTCACAGTGCTTCACAAAATCAAACAAGAACTAGTCTCTTATCTATTATAAGTCCAGTACTATAATAGCATCTATCTTTTGTAGGAGAAAAAGCAATATAAGAACGTATTTTGAAGTCCAAAAACGTGTTTAGCTATGTCCTCTTATTTTTCTTCAGAACTTCTAATTATACTTGATTTTGTTCTCATTTGCTTTTCTTAGAAATGTTTTAGCAGTCTCCCTCTTATTACATAGTAGTTTACTTCATCCAAATCACATAAGTCATGGTCCATAGCTAGTTTCTCACTATATGTTGACATTGTACGACTGTTAATTCTTGTAGTTAGTCCTATTTATTTGTCCAGTTATATTAAAAATGTCAATATATTTGACATCTCTGAGCCTGAAAGAGACATGTTCCTGGGGAAAGAACCAACATTTTTGAGGAAAGTTTTCTAACTTTATCTCATTTAATCCTCAAAAGCATGTCTATTTAAGGCAGGTATTATTATTATTATTCCTTTTTTACAGATAAGAACACACCTCTGATATTCATATATCACCCATCTGTACATGGGGAATGATTTTAAGATAGTAGACATATTTTTTGTAGTCTGGGAGAATACCCGTGTATTTGATGTATCCTAGTATGTTATACATATTGAGTACACATGATCCTAATTCAAATTTGATGAGCAAAAACTCTTTGTTTAGTGTAAAGTGAGGATCATTTGCAAAGTTGAAGAAAGCATGAGTCTACTTTTATACCCTTTGAATGTAAGAGTTGGCATGGCAAGTGAAAGACACTATAAACGGCATAACTAGTTACATATATTTCAATTTGAACATCCAAAATATGCAAGTATATAGACTCACTGCTCTGAAATCCACTATTCCCTTTTTCACTTCAGATTATCATAAGTTGATGTGAATTACTTTCATCATATTATTGCATACACTTCACAGTGAATGCTCCCAAGTGGAGGTCAGCAGGAGTTTTGATAGGGTCAAGACAGAAGTGAGAAAATTTTTATAAAGAGATATAGCTCAGGCAATTGGATGAGCAAAACGAAGATTGAAACAACTACTGTGTATCTACAAGTCTCTATCTATATATGGGAAAATATACTAAAGCAACAAAATAGTTATTCTAAAATGTAAACTTCTATAGAATAATAATCTCTAGTTGAAGCTCACATCCTTCTACATGGCATAAAATTTAGTCACTTCCAGATAAATTATGATAGTATAGTTTTGTTTGGTCGGTGGGGTTTTTTCCTCCTTAGACATTTAAGGTATTGATTCAGTCATTTGGGAAATTTTTCTTCCTCCCTTATCCTCAGAGTTGACCACAGGTTATGGAGGTGATTAGTAATAAGAAAGACGGAAAATGGTGGAGACCTTACCATAATATTACGTTGTCGGTAGGGAAAATATATCTGCCCCTCTCTTAGACATACCTGCACTTCTCTTAAATGGCATAGGAAATTTAGGAATACTTTCTGTGGCTGTAGATGCTCTTTGCTCTAAAGTGCTCTTTCTTTACATGTGCCTTCGCATCATTTATGCTTCACAAATGTAATTCCATGCAGTAATAAAGAAATTCACCGTGAAACCTGCTTCTTCTTTGGACTTTGCCCAGAGAATGAATCACAATTCGCCTCTGCTCTCAGATTGCCCCAGACCTGCCTGGTGTTTTCATCATTCTGGGATGGAATGATGCCAGCCCCCCTCTCAGGAGCTATTTTTTCAGCTCCCGCAATCTTTATCTAATCTATAAAGATAGGGTGGTTTGAATCTTTTTTATCTGTTTCAAATCTATCATTTAGTGCACACATTTTTTTGCCAAGTTTCTGTCCAGGCTTAGCTTTTTGTGTTGCAAAATACCTGACTCTTGAAAGTAATATAACTGGTTTTCAAGATTTTCTCTGCCATATGTTTCAAAAGACTTTTGTAATTCAGAGGCCAAGTTTGATCTAGTGAGTAACATTATTAGTTCAGTAGATAGAGAAAGCATATGTGTAGAGCAAAGTAAAAAATATCTAGGGAAAAATACTTGACTATCTGCAGAATATGTTCCATCCCATGGATGTGCATATAGGATGTCCATTGGAAAAATGGGGGAGAAGTTCTTAATGGGATCAGGAAGGCCGGGTGCAGTGGCTTATGCCTGTAATCACAGCACTTTGGGAGGCCAAGGCAGATGGATTACTTGAGGTCAGGAGTTCGAGACCAGCCTAGCCAACATGGTGAAACCCTGTCTCTACTAAAAATACAAAAATTAGCTGGGTGTGGTGGCAGGCACCTGTATTCCCAGCTACTCAGGAGGCTGAGGCAGGAGAATCGCTTGAACCCAGGAGGTGGAAGTTGCAGTGAGCCGAGATCGTACCACAGTACTCCAGCCTGGGTGACAGAGTGGGACTCTGTCCCAAACAAAGGGGGATCAGGGATGTAAGGTGGGATCATGACAAAGCAGAGTTTCTTAAACTTGGGACTAGTAACATTTTGAGCTGCATAGCTCTAGGTTGCTGGGGCCATTCCATGCTTTGTAAGATGTTTAGCAGCATCTGTGGCGTCAACTGGACAGATACCAGTAACAAACTCGCTCTTCACTTATGACAACCAAAAATTTCTCCAGACATTGCCAGATATGTTTCATGGGGGGAAGGAATTGCTCTCAGTTGAGAAACACGGGTGATAAAGGACGGTGTTCAACATTATGAAGCTAGATATTACTTTATCATGGGCCACTTCTTATATTTGAATTGAAATGTCTACAATTGAACTTTGAACTTTGCTTAAAATTCAACATTTATTCATCACCTGATTTAAAATAAAAATTACTATGACATGATCCTGCCCTATAGACTAGATTTTGGTTTCAAATGGTAGTCCGAGGATAATCTATGACAAATAACTTGGGGTGCTGATTAAAATCACAGATTTCTGTGCATACCCTAAACCTATTATATCAGACTCTGGAAGTGAGGCTTTAAGAATCCCCATGTTTAACAAGCTTTCCAGCTATTTTTGAGTATTACTGACCTAGAAGGGATGACCGTCACGTAAATCAATACTTTTAGTGTGCTATGTTCTATAATGAAGGTATTAGGAGAGCAAGTATAGAAACAGGAAAGAACTTTAAGAGCCTAATGTGGCAGACATGGAGAAAATATTAATGTACCTGTGAACTAGCTTCTCTTGACTCACTAAAGAAGTTATAGGTACAATTCTTCATGGAACATGACTGAAGCACTGTTTATCTAATCTCTTCTTTTTGTTCCTCAATATCCACTAATACAAACCAAATTTATCCTGGTTGAAAATATGTTGCTTTCATTGGAAAAATATCTTTAATGAGTTTTAATAACATATTTAAATATTTTTAAATATCATAATTGTATAAATATCTAGCTTTTAAAACATAAAAATCTCAAAATTTTCAAAGCACCACATATTCTTTTTAACCTTGGCTAGAATGCGATCATCACACAATGTTTATATCCTGTGGCACTTTTGATCTGCAGGTAAATTTCTGCATCAATTCACAGGCATATGAAACTATCCTAGATGGTCACTTGCGGTATGACTAGAGCTTGGGAACCATCAATGTACTGTTTCTTTCAGGTGGAATCCAAACTATGCTTGCTTAAAAATCTTCAGTTCATTTCAACAATATTGACAAAGCCATGTAGATACCATTTTTAAACACTTAAATGTAGTTATATATAGTTGTCATCTTCAAATGTATACTTACTTGAGTATGTAATCAGGCAATGATAAAAACTATATAAAGTCAAAATTCATGAAAATGTAAAACAATGGCTAAAAGGCAAATTAATCATTCTTGTTCTAAAATCTTGAAGAAAACAATTTCCCTTTGTATTGGGGAAAATGTTAGTAAAAGTGGTAGAAGAGTAGCGGAAATTGAAAAAGTAGGAAGAGTGAAAAGGAGAGATAGCTATGATATCTATTTTTATGTAAATGGACTGTGGATGAGAAGTTTTTTGTGATTCTAAAGTGCATATTTTGTGAGCTTTTGTGTATAAATCTATGTCATGATTCATTTGTCAAATTCCAAAGAAGCAATGGTTTGAATAATGCAGTGAAATAGTAGTGCTGTTTTTTAGAATTTTTCTGTCTTATAGATTAGGAGGATAAGTAAGTACACACAATTAGCAAAATTTGTTTTATTACAAACTGTATTAGTCAGAGTTCTCCAATAGGATAGGTGAATACATAATAGATGATAGATAAATAGATAGACAGACAGACAGAAAGACAGACAGACAGACAGACAGACAGACAGACAGACAGACAGATAGATAGATAGATAGATAGATGAAAGAAGATTTGTTAGGGGAGTTGGCTCACGTAATCATGGAGGCTGAGACATCCCACAACAGGCTATCTAAAAGCTAGAGACCCAGCTAAGCTGGTAGCATGGCTCAGTCCAAATTTGAAAACCTCAGAACCAAAGAAGCAAGTAATGTAAATCTCAGTCCAATATTGAAGGCCTGTGAGCGAGGGGGCTGCTGGTGCAAGTCTTGGAATGAAAAGGCCAGAGGGCCTGAAGTTCTGATGTTCAAGTGCAGGGGAAGAAGGGTGTCCTGGTTCCAGCAGAGAGAAAAAACAAATTCTCTTTTTTTCTGCTTTTTTGTTTTATCTGTGCTCCCAGCAGTTGGATAGTGCCTGACCACTCTAAGGGTGTATCTTCCCCACTCAGTTCACCAACTCACATGCCATTCTCCTCTGGAAACACCCTCACTGACACACCCAAAAATAATGCTTTATTAGCTCTTCAGGTATTCCTTAATCCAGGAAAGTTGACACCTAAAATTAACAATCACACAAACATAAATACTCCTTTGTAATTTCAAACACAACTCTATTTCGTAAAACCAACATTCCCATGAAATGCCAGCAAAATAATTAACATTTCTCACAAAATTCAAATATTTAGTTAAATATATTAATTATATTTATTATTAGTTTGACAAGTACTTATTTTAATCAGGAAATCTTATTTTCTTTAACTTTGGTATCTTTTAATTTTATAAGAAAACAATAAAATAATGAAAGATAATACTACAACAATCAAAACAAATCTGGACTCGAATGTACGTCTAGACTCTTTATGGGGTACTGACCAAGATGTTTCCATCTCAATGTCCTCTGAAGGCAAGCTGTATCTACCCCTTGGACGCTTATGTGGCATTTTGAATTCTAGTGGAGCAAGCTGAAAGATGCACTCCTGGATTACCTGGCATTACCTAGAGATCTGGAGAGGTTGGCTGTCACAGGTTAATCCCGACCTCCTGCTTATCATCTCCTAGATGCTTGAGAAAAGCAGACAATTCAGAAGGCACCTGCATGCATTAGACTCACCAAACTAAAAATTCCATATTACTTTCAGTCAAGCAATGCTTTAAGTTAAGGTAAATTTAGGAATTGTATCTGAAACTTTCCGAAGAGATTTTATTTTATTATTTTGATTTTCAAATGTATTTATTTGAACTTTGTCTACCTAATATATCTATCATTTATCTATTGCCGCCTTAGAGTTAATATAAACATCTTTTACTAGGTAGCCCAGTATCTTTTCATTCAAACCCGAGGATCCAGAGTCCCTCTCTAGGAATGTAATCATGAACAGTTGACTTGGCCTATTATTCCCTGGAAGATATCTGAGTGCAAAAAAGCCTGCAAAATGCCACCGCTAAAATATAGATTTATCTTTTTTATATGTCGTTTTCCTAAGGAAATCTTATATATACATAGAGTGAGACTAAAATCAACTAATTTCTTTTTTTTTAATTGTTGGGATTTTTTTATTATTATACTTTAAGTTCTAGGGTATATGTGCACAACATGCAGGTTTCTTACATATGTATACATGTGCCATGTTGGTGTGCTGCACCCATTAACTCGTCATTTACATTAGGTATATCTCCTAATGCTATCCCTCCCCCCTCCCCCCACCCCATGACAGGCCCTGGTGTGTGATGTTCCCTACCCTGTGTCCAAATGTACTCATTGTTCAATTCCCACCTATGAGTGAGAACATGCGGTGTTTGTTTTTCTGTCCTTGCAATAGTTTGCTCAGAATGATGGTTTCCAGTTTCATCCATGTCCCTACAAAGGACATGAACGCATCCTTTTTATGGCTACATAGTATTCCATGGTGTATATGTGCCACATTTTCTTAATCCAGTCTATCATTGATGGACATTTGGATTGGTTCCAAGTCTTTGCTATTGTGAGTAGTGCCACAATAAACATACGTGTGCATGTGTCTTTATAGCAGCATGATTTATAATCCTTTGGGTATATACCCAGTAATGGGATTGCTGGGTCAAATGGTATTTCTAGTTCTAGATCCTTGAGGAATCGCCACACTGTCTTCCACAATGGTTGAACTAGTTCACAGTCCCACCAACAATGTAAAAGTGTTCCTATTTCTCCACATCCTCTCCAGCATCTGTCGTTTCCTGACTTTTTAATGATTGCCGTTCTGACACTTCTCAAAAGAAGACATTTATGCAGCCAACAGACACATGAAAAAATGCTCATCATCACTGGCCATCAGAAAATGCAAATCAAAACCACAGTGAGATACCATCTCACACCAAATAATTTCTTAGTTACAAAATAAATATTTAACAAATTAAAAATGTTCTCAAGATAAATTGCTATACTCAGTTTATGCCCATCAACTGAAGCCTTGCTAGGTACCATGAGCATGACATTGCTTAGCTAAACTTGTCAATGGCTCCATGCCAGTAAATGACCAAATATCTATCCCTTCAGTTCTGTAATTATTGTGCTGAATAAATTTGAATTATAACATTGCTACCAACAATTGAAAATTTATCAGCCTAATTTATTTTTCCTTTACAAGTCACATCAGTATCATGCTCCTATTCCACAATGTGTCTTCTGCTAATTTTTACATATCTTCCAGTAAAATTCATGTTCTGGGAAGATGAAGATGTGCCATATTCTCTGTCCTATGATTTTAAGTTCTCCCTGGCATAGCCATAATATTAACAGGGCATGTAGATTGAAGTCCATAATCATTAGCTTGGAATTTGTATCATTAAACATATTTCCCAAGCTACTTTTCCAACCTCATCTTAGCCTAAGACCTTCTTAACTTTTTAGAGGTCCCCAAACATACATGCATTTACTAACTTTGCTACTTCTGTCTTAACTGTTTTAATATGTTTACCAAACAACTTTACTCTTCATACATAGTAAAATGACTGGTTCTTTGCAAGTTTTTCTTATATGTATCACCTAATATTATGTATTTCTCCAGTGAGGCTTCCTTCAGCTATATGTCATCATATCTTCTACATTTCTCTTTTAATAATAGTCATCACACATTATTTAATATGTATTGGTGGGTCTATCTTCCATAGACTGTAAGCTTTAAAAGCTTGAGACCATGGTTTTCAACTACTAAATCCGTAGTACCTATAGTAGTGCTTACCACGTAAGAAACAAGAAATATTTTAATAAGTACATAAATGATGATTAAATCAATACAATATCCCTTAAAGTAGGTTTGTAGAATATGATAATAATAAAGGAACTGAACCTGGAGACCATAGTTATTTAATCCACGGTATATGCTTGTACCGTGAAGCATGGATGAGCATATATTTGTCTGATGTGTTCTAAAATATCTTGCTACCTACAGCCATATGGCAAATGTATCTGTCTCATTTTTCTTACCCAACATCTCCACACAAAAAAACCATTTAATCCTTTAGATGATAAAATCATATTCAGCAAGGATAAAGGGAGTTTCTACAACTCGAGGTTAACAAATTGTCATAGAAACTTCAAGCATTGCTTTTTACATTTTGATTATATCTTGTTTAGCCCTGAACTCGTCTAGCTTTGTCCCAAAAATTTCTTGAGATATTTTTGATATCTTCTTTATAAGTTAAATTAAATTTTCCTTGGGGTCTTAAAGGCCTTGACATTAATTTGGATTTCCAGAGGAAAATTTCCCTTGATTTTTAGTGAGAGTGATAGTTAACAATAACTTATGGCATGTTTCAAAATAACTAAAAGAGTAGAATTAAAATGTTCATAACACAAAAAAGTGATAAATGCTTATGGTGATGGACTCCCCAATTACTGTGATTTGATTACATTGTATATTTATATCAAAATATCACATGTACCCCATAAATATGTACAACTATTATGTATTCAAAATAACTAAAAATTTTATATAACATAAACAACCCTAGTACAAAAAAATGAGCTGAAGGCTTTAACAGACATCTAACCAAAGAAGACTTGCAGATGGCAATTAAGCATGTGAAAAGATGCCCTATGTCACATGTCATCGGTGAAATGCAAATTAAAATGACAGTGAGATACTATTACGCACCTATTAGAATGAACAAAGTTCAGAACACTGACAACAACAAATGCTGGCCAGGGTGTAGAGCAATGGAAACTCTCATTCATTGTTAGTGGCAATGTAAAATCAGCCAGCCACTTTGGAAGAAAGGTTGGCAGTCTTTCACAAGACAAACACACACTTACCATGAAACATAGAAATCACACTATTTGGTACTTACCCAAAGGTGTTGAAAACTTATGTCTACACAAAACCTGCATACAGATGTATAGAGCAGCTTTATTCATACTTGCTAAAACTTGAAAGCAACCAAAAGATCCTCCAGTAGGTGAAGGGAAAATAAGCTATAGTACATCCAGACAATAGAATATTATTCAGTGCTAAAAAGAATGAGCTATCAAGCTGGGAAAAGACATGCAGGAACCTTAAATGCATATTACTGAGGGAAAGAAGTGAATCTGAATAGCCTACATACTGTATGATTCCAACTGTAATTCTAGAAAAGGCAAACCTATGGCATTCTAGAAAAGGCAAGCATATGGCAGCAGTAAAAAGATCAGTGGTTGCCTGGGGCTGTACATATTTTCTTAGATTTAAACCTTATTATTGGGGCACAGAGAGAGGGATGAATAGGCTGATCACAGAATTTTTAGAACAGTAAAAATACTCTGTATGATTAATGAATGTATAGTGATAGATATATGTCATTATACATTCATTCAAACCCATAGAATGTACAACACCAACAGTGAACCTTACTGCAAACTATGAACATTGGATGATAATGATGTGTCAATGTAGGCTCATTATTGTAAAGAATGTACCACTCTGGTGGGGCGTGTTGATAATGGGGGAGGTTATACCTGTATGGGGGCAGTGGGTGTATAGAAATTTCCGTACCTTCTGCTCGTTTTTGCTGTGAACCTAAATGTACTCTGAAAAATAAAGTATATTTTAAAGTCCATTGCTATTTTTCTTAAGACTAAGGAATTAAAACTGAAAGTTAAATGTATACAACTAGTTTATGGGGCCTATGCAAGGTTCAAAGTATATTAAAAATGAAGAAAAAAATTCTGAACCTAATTATTATCTCCTAATTAGTCATAAAGCAAAAACTACTGCTTAAGAAAATGAGAAGGGAAATAAAAATAATGTACTCTTTAAGGTCCGCATGAGCACTGCCATGAATGTCTGCCAAAACCCCAGCAAATAAATGGCAGAAACACTTCTTATTTCAGCCCTGGGCACCCTGTAAGCAGGGTTGGCCAGAGATGCTGATATAAGCTAAATTAATTCAATCATATTATTTTTATGACACTCTCATCTAACTGCAAGTTGATTCCAACTTGTATTCTATCTGTGGTCCACTCTAAAGGAACCATTACGCTCTTTTCGGACCTAAATTTCTTTCCAATTTGGAAAGTTTATTTTAAAAATATGGGACAACTTTACACATTCTCAATCATCATTTAAAGTTTCAGGTTGAAGAAAATGTAAACCAAGTCTCCTAAATTCATATCAACCTTCATCGAAAGAAAAGAGCTCCCTTAAATGGATATCGAATTCTCATAAGAGAACTAGATTTTGTAGAAATATACATAGTCTACATTAAACCTCTAAACAGTGCAAAAGAACATTTATTTGGCATTTATTTAAGATATTTTAAGCTTATATTCCCCTTTTAATATCGCAGCTGGTGCTCTTGTGAATGCACCACCTCCTGGGTGGAGGCCAACCAACCCAAAACATTACAGCAACACATGACAGAACAACCCTGCTCCAAGGAAGGAGAAAACAAAAACTAATTCTACTGCCTGCAACATTCAGGCTAACCCGTGGTCCTGAGTCTGTCCATGTGACAACTTTACTGCTAGCATAACCAGCATTCGGGAAAGCCAGCACACTAAACATTATCTACAACCAAGGATTATCACAGAGTCAGCTTCACTCTGCTGCCATCTCCACCAGAGCAGGTACTTGTATGCATGGCTGGGAGACCTGAAGATCCATCACATTACAGGACTCTTTGCAGACATTCCCCAGCACTAGCAGAGAGCCTGGTAGGCACAGTGAGTGGCTAGACCCAGAAGAGCAACAACAATCACTGCAGACGGGCTCACAGGAAGTCCCATCCATAGGGGAATGGGGAGTACACCACATCAAGGGATCACGCTGTGGGACAAAAGAATCTAAACAGCAGCCCTGGAGTTCCAGATTTTTCCACTGAAATAGTTAATCCAAATGAGAAGGAATCAGAAAAGTAATCCTTGTAATATGATAAAACAAGGTCCTATAACATCCCCAAAAGACCACACTAGTCCCCCAAGCAATGTATTTAAACCAAGAAGAAATCTCTGAAATTCAGGAGGCTGATTATTAAGCTACACAAGGAGATACCAGAGCAAGGTGAAAACCAATTTAAAAACATTAAAAAGGACAATACAGGATATGGATGAAAAATGCTCCACAGAAATAGATACCATAAATTTTAAAAAATCACAGCTTCTGGAAGTTCATGACCAAGAACCCAAAAGCCAATACAACAAAAACAAAAATAAATAGATGGGACCTAATTAAACTAAAAAGCTTCTGCACAGCAAAAGAAATAATCAGCAGAGTAAACAGACAACCCACAGAGTGGGAGAAAATGTTCACAAACTATGCATCTGAAAAAGGACTAATATCTAGAATATGTGAGGAACTCAAATCAGCAAGAAAAAAAATCTCATCAAAAAGTGGGCTAAGAATATGAATAGACAATTCTCAAAAGAAGATATACAAGTGGCCAACAAACATATGAAACAGTGCTCAACACCACCAGTTATCAGGGAAATGCAAATCAAAACTACAATGAGATACGACCTTACTCCTGCAAGAATGGTCATAATTAAAAAATAAAAAAATAACAGATGGTGGTGAAAAGGGAATACTTTTACACTGCTGGTGGCGTTGTAAACTAATACAACCACTATGGAAAACAGTATGGCAATTCCTTACGGAACTAAAAGTAGAACTACCGTTTGATCCAGCAATCCCACTACTGGGTGTCTATCCAGAGGAAAAGAAGTAATTATATGAAAAAGACACTTGCACATGCATGTTTATAGCAGGACAATTCACAATTGCAAGAATATGGAACTAGCCTAAATGCCCATCAACCAATGAGTAGATAAAGAAAATGTGTATACATACGCTGGAATACTACTCAGCCGTAAAAAGGAATGAAATAGTGTCATTTGCAGCAATCTGGGTGGAGTTGGAGACTATTATTGAAAGTGAAGTAGCTCAGGAATGAAAAACCAAACATCGTATATTTTCAATTTTAAGTGGGAGCTAAGCTATGAGAACGCAAAGGCATCAGAGTGATATAATAGACTTTGGTGACTTGGCGGAAGGGTGGGAGAAGGGTGAGGGATAAAAGACTACACATTGGGTACAGTGTACGCTGCTCGGGTGATGAGTGCACCAAAATCTCAGAAATCACCAATAAAGAACTTTTCCATGCAACCAAATGCCATCTGTTCCTCCAAAGCTATTGAAATAAAATTAAGAAAAAAGAAAAAATATATTTTGATTCCCCCTGTATATATCGGTGATACAGTGATAAATGGTCATGTTGATATTTATTATCTGGAAGATAAACAATTTTTGAAAACTTTTATGATGCCCCTTTTGTTACCTAAGAAACTTTATTCTTTCCCAAAGTATTTTTAATGTGATAGATGGATTCTTATCCTAAGTCATTGTCTTATAATACCAGATAGAAAATGGTAAAATTATGAGATATTAAAATATTCACAGTTTCCATTTGGGGAGGTTTCAGTGTGGAATAAGAAGATAAATTAAAATTAGACCGTGTATCTTTAATTAATTAGAATTGGTAAATACATAATAGAATAATTTTCTCAAGTAGCTACTGATATTCCTACAACATTTTTCCCTTAAACATGTGAAATATTAAAATTTTCTACACATCTCTATTTATAGAGAAGAGTAAGACATAGTATACCCACTAGTGATAATTAGCATTAATTGGGAGTTTACTGTGTGTCAGGTACTTTGATAAGTGATTTATATACATTATCTCATTTGATTTTCATTTCGACTGTGTGAGATCTACATTATACCTCTCTTTTACAGATGAAAAACTGAAGCTCAGAATGTTTGTAAGATGACTAGGAGTTAGTGTATCCATCATATCATAATAGAAAACAGACAGCACACTCAAAATTGCACAAGGTGAGGAAAGTTTATTTACACAGAAACTATTTCAAAACATATGCAGTAAGACAGTGTAGAAACCTGGAGCCAGCACTCTTTAAGGGATTGTGACCTTCAGGAGTTACCAAAGGGTCAAGTGCACTGGAATGACAATCAGAGGTTTTGTCTCCACACTATTACTAACTCTTTTCTATTGTGGGCTCTCCTTTTTTTTTTTTTTCTATAGGTAGTATGTTTTTATCCATAAATAGAGGGAGTTGAAAAAAATGATCTGAAAGGTCAGTCTCTTCTTTTTCTAATATCCTCTGATTCTATCTTTTTGTGGTAGAACGATCTAAGATGTTGGTCCCTCATTTTTGGTAACACCCTGTGTTGCTATGTTTCAAGAGCAGATTCTTGGCATAGACAAAGGAATATGTTACTCAATGACCAGGTGGGTCCATCTCCACTTGTGGGTAGCTGGACTGTGGGAAAGTTCTTGAGCTGTCCCTGTGCCTATGTCTTTGCAAAAATACAATAGGAAATGCTTATTTTATGTTTTCTACCTCAAAATCATTGCAGTTGAGTATCTCAACTGTGACTTTAAAAAATGAAAAACAAATCTCTGATCTGTCATACACATCAGATATGTAAAACAAATTGGCTGCTTCGCAGAAGCAGCACTTTTAATAGGGAATAATTTCCACAATATTACACTGGTGAGAAATCTTATGAATTCAAATGCTTAGCATGTTTAGAAGGCAAAATTAAAGGTGATTATCTGAATTAGTTTTGATTTTAACTAAATGAGATGGTTCATGTAAACCTTTTTTCATACATTTGGTTTTAGGTTTGGTCATCCTGTTTTAGATTATTCTCTTAATGTGTTATCTTTGTGATTATTTAAAAACAAAAAAGGGAAGAAAATTTATTTATGTGTGAAGAGAGATTTAAAACTGTCTCATTTGTAAGAAGCTGCTAAATTTCAGAGACCATGTATAGGTTATCACTTTGGACATTTGGAACAAAATGCAAATGTTATACATTAACTTATTTCCCTGTGATATTGTACTCTCTTATCTTTCACGAATTATTAGCACTTTAGAATACAGGAAGCAGGAAAGGAACAAAGAGAGGCAGCAATGAATCTAATTGCTGCAATGAATCTAATTGCAGCAATGAATCTAATTGTACACTGTCTGCAGGTAAATGATCCAGTATGCAATCGTTAACCCTCTTATACAAACTAATGGCTGTGGGTTGCAAAAAAAAATGATTTTGATTATCTGATCATTTAGCACCTAAAACAGAAATGATAGAGATTAGAGTTACCGTAAATTGCTAAAAACATACACAAAAACAAATTCCCTCTCAGTCGAAATTATATGCTGTGTTTATAATGACTATAATTTTTATCAATAATTTGAAGACAAAAGCAATTTTTATCATTTATGAATTATATTTATGAACTTCTAGGTGAGGTAACTGTTAAGTGCAGAATGTTTATGGCTAGAGGTAAATTTGCTCCTTTCTTTGAGGTCACCATTATTTCTATTTTCTGAAATTTGAATTTCCAACACTAAGGTCATTTCTTAAGTTTGAAACAATAAGTGTTTTCACCTAATCTCAAGATGAATGTTTAAAAAACACTGCCTATCGTTATCTAGGAATAATATTATATGTGGCTCAAGAATCTCCCTTTAGATCTTAAACAAATTTACAATAAAAAAAACAACATTAAAAAAATGGGCAAACGACATGAACACAAAATTCTCAAAACAAGCTATACATGTGACCAACAAGCATATGAGAAAATGCTCAGCATCACTAATATCAGAAGAATGTAAATCAAAACCACGATGAGATACCATCTCACACCAGTCGGAATGGCTATTCTTAGAAAGTCAAAAACTATCTGATGCTGGCAAGGTTGTAGAGAAAAAGAAAGGCGTTTACACTGTTGGTGGGAGTGTAAATTAGTTCAACTATTGTGGAAGACAGTGTGGCAATTCCTCAAAGACCTACAGTCAGAAATACCATTTGACCCAGTAATCCCATTACTGGGTATGTACTCAAAAGAATATAAATCATTCTATTATAAAGACACATGTACTCATATGTTCATTGCAGCACTGTTCACAATAGCAAAGACATGGAATCAACCTAAATGCCCGGCAATGATAGACTGGATAAAGAAAATCTGGTAGTTATACACCATGGAATACTATGCAGCCATAAAACAGAATGGGATCATGTCCTTTGCAGGGACATGGATAGAGCTCTAGGTCTTTATTCTCAGCAAACTAACACAGAAACAGAAAATCAAATACTGCATGTTCTCACTTATAAGTGGGAGCTAAGTGATGAGAACACATGGGCACATAGAGGAGAACAACAGGCACTGGGGCATATCAGAAGTTGGAGGTAAGGAAGAGGGACAGGATCAGGAAAAATAACTAATGGATACTAGGCTTATTACCTGGGTGATGAAATAATCTGTACAACACACCCCCATGACACACGTTTACCTATGTAACAAACCTGCACATGTACCCCTGAAGTTAAAAATTAAATTAAAAAAAATCAGGAATGCAGTTCTTTTCACAATTGCCACAAAAATAATAAAATATCTAGGAATACAACCAACCAGAGATGTGAAATGTCTCTACGACGATAATTACAAAACACTTCTGAAGGAAATCAGAGATGAAACAAACAGAACAACATTCCATGTTCATGGATAGGAAGAATCAATATCGTTAAAATGGCCATACTGCCCAAAGCAATTTACACACTCAGTGGTATTCCTATAAAACTACCAATGACATTCTTTACAGAACTAGAAAAAACTATTTTAAAATTCATATGGAACCAGAAAAGAACCCCCAAATAGCCAAGACAATCCTAAGCAAAAAGTAGAGAGCAGGAGGCTCTAAATTGCTTTGGGCAGTATGGCCATTTTAAGCATATTGATTCTTCCCATTCATGAGCATGGAAAGTTTTTTCCTGTTTGTGTCATCTCTGATTTCTCTGAGCGGTGGTTTGTAGTTCTCTTCGTAGAGATCCTTCACTTCCCTTGTTAGCTGTATTCGTAGGTGTTTTATTCTTTCTGTGGCAATTTTGAAGGGGAGTTCTTTCCTAATGTGGCTCTTGGCTTGACTATTTTTGATGTCTAGTCATGTTGGTGACTTTTGTACATTTATTTTGTATCCTGAGACTTTGCTGAAGTTGTTTATCAGCTTAAGAAGCTTTTGGGCTGAGACTGGGGGCTTTCTAGATATAGGATCATGTCATCTGCAAACAGGGATAGTTTGACTTCCTCTCTTCCTATTTGGATGCTCTTTATTTCTTTCTCTTGCCTGATGGCCCTGGCCAGAACTTCCAATACTATGTTGAATAGGAGTGGTGAGAGGCTATCCTTGATTTGTGCTGGTTTTCAAGGGGTATGCTTCTCATTTTTGCCCATTCAGTAGGATGTTAGCTGGGGGTTTGTCATATATGGCTCTTATAATTGTCAGGTATTTTTCCTACACATATTATGCACCACCTCAGGTAGTTTTATAACTTTTGTTTCAACCATAAAATATGACTTAAGAAATGAATAAGAATCCTGGTCTATTATACTGATTTTATTGTTCCCCGTTCTGGTGTTCCTTCCTTTCTGAAGTTCGAGAGTTTTTCTGTTATTTTTTTTTTTTTTTCTGTTCAGACAACTTCCTTCAGTAATTATTTAAGGTTAGGATTCCTCAAAACAAATTCTTTTTTTTTATCTGAAAATATTTTTTTTTATTATACTTTAAGTTTTAGGGTACATGTGCACATTGTGCAGGTTAGTTACATATGTATACATGTGCCATGCTGGTGCGCTGCAGCCACTAACTCGTCATCTAGCATTAGGTATATCTCCCAATGCTATCCCTCCCCCCTCCCCCCACCCCACCACAGTCCCCAGAGTGTGATATTCCCCTTCCTGTGTCCATGTGATCTCATTGTTTATGTGAAAATATTTTTATACCTCCTTAATTTTTTAAGGACTTTCTTCTTTGTCATGGAAATACAGTCTGAAATCTCTTCTACTTGAATCCTCATGGTTTGGGTCTTACTTGTAATTGTCCCTGTCATATATTTGGTACTACATCAGTTTTAGTTGTATAAACTAATGTTATTTAACTTTCTCTATATTATCACCATTTTAATCAAGGCTCTGATCATCTTTCTTCTGAATACATTCTTTCTTCCTGGTTTGTCCAAATTAAGTAACAGAATACCCGTTCTTTAATTCTCCTGTAACAGTTGATATTTATGAATTAATAAAATAGATAGCTAATACTTTATACTTTGGCACTTAAGAGGATTAGTTTTGAAGTGACAAAGAAATAAAATTGTGCCTTTTATAATAGTATACTGTAGCCACAAAGAAAGTAAAGAAACACATGAAACAGTCCATTTATAACCAATGACGACAAAGCACAAGGACTCCTTCCTCACTTTAAAGTCAACTTTACATGTGATATGTTTTAAATTTCTACCTGCGTATCCTATCTTTAATATTACTATAAAGTACTACTAACTTTAAAAGGCTATTTTAGGCCGGGCGCGGTGGCTCACGCCTGTAATCCCAGCACTTTGGGAGGCCGAGGCGGGTGGATCATGAGGTCAGGAGATCGAGACCATCCTGGCTAACAAGGTGAAACCCCGTCTCTACTAAAAATACAAAAAATTAGCCGGGTGCGGTGGCGGGCGCCTGTAGTCCCAGCTACTGGGGAGGCTGAGGCAGGAGAATGGCGTGAACCCGGGAAGCGGAGCTTGCAGTGAGCCGAGATTGCGCCACTGCAGTCCGCAGTCCGGCCTGGGCGACAGAGCGAGACTACGTCTCAAAAAAAAAAAAAAAAAGAAAAGGCTATTTTATCCATCTCAAAGTTCATTCTCATCCTAGTTTTGTAAAATTCTCCCCAAAAAATGAGTCATGGAAAACAAGCATTCCTTTGAGTCCCAAGATGTATTTAATACATGAGGTACTATGCTTAAATTCCACAACTAGTTAATAAAAGTGACAAACCAAGGGACCAAAGATCTTAGTTCCTAATCTTTTGTTGCTTCTATAAAGCAATCATTTTATCAGTCTATTTCTCTGCCAATTTTATTCATTCCTCTGAAATAAATTTGCTTAATCGCTTACCCTCTAATTTTAAGTAAAATTTGTAAAATAACCATTACTCTAGGTTTCTGTAGAATATTGTCAAATATTACTGAACTTTATGACAGCCCTTGTGATTTTTCTAAAGTTTGGTTTAGACCTAACTTTTCTCTATTACTTTCACCTTTTATTTTTATCTTATTTATGAATTGGGGAAGAAGGGAATGCTCTTTGCATCTGGAATTCCCACACTCCCCATCCCACTAATGACTCTCAGTTTCTTATAGATGAGCTTTGCCATTTGTTATATCACATTCTACTTTAATTGACTGGAGCACAAAAAGTAACATGCTTCTTATCTCACGTTGTCTGTTTATTGTCAACTGCTATGCTCCATAAGATGGTATGTCAGAATACCAGAGGCAGCCGGGCGCGATAGCTCACGCCTGCAATCCCAGCAGTTTGGGAGGCCGAGGCAGGCGGATCACGAGGTCAGGAGATCAAGACCATCCTGGCTAACACGGTGAAACCCCATCTCTACTAAAACAAAATACAAAATATTAGCCGGGCGTGGTGGCGGGTGCCTGTAGTCCCAGCTACTCAGGAGGCTGAGGCAGGAGAATGGCATGAACCCGGGAGGCGGAGCTTGCAGTGAGCCAAGATCGCACTACTGCAATCCAGCCTGGGCAACAGAGTGAGACTCCATCTCAAAAAAAAAAAAAAAAAAAGAATACCAGAGGCAAAACTTTTGTTTTGCTTGTATTCACCCTCTCTTCTGCTTATTATTTTTTCCTTTAGAGGCCGTCATATGGTGTTTCCCCTTCCTGGATCTACTACTAAGCACGTTGAGGCTACTAGCATTAGTCTTTCGGGGTCCTAAAATTGGTCCAGTGTTGTTTGGTCTTCTATGACAATTTCAGGCGGGGAGCTCTTACATTCTTTAACTACAAACTTACTTGACATTATTGTTCCACTTAGTTTTGGTCATTGTGCCCTCTAATGTAATAATTACTTTAACCAATTATATCCACTAATAAATGGAGATTATTGTTATTATTAACTTTTAAGTTCGGGAATACATGTGCAGGATGTGCAGGTTTGTTACATAGGTAAACGTGTGTCATGGGGGTGTGTTGTACAGATTATTTCATCACCCAGGTAATAAGCCTAGTACCCATTAGTTATTTTTGCTGGTCCTCTCCCTCCTCCTAACCTCCAACTTCTGATATGCCCCAGTGCCTGTTGTTCTCCTCTACGTGCCCATGTGTTCTCATCACTTAGCTCCCACTTATAAGTGAGAACATGCAGTATTTGATTTTCTGTTTCTGTGTTAGTTTGCTGAGAATAAAGACCTAGAGCTCTATCCATGTCCCTGCAAAGGACATGATCCCATTCTGTTTTATGGCTGCATAGTATTCCATGGTGTATAAATACCAGATTTTCTTTATCCAGTCTATCTTTGCTGAGCATTTAGGTTGATTCCATGTCTTTGCTATTGTGAACAGTGCTGCAATAAACATGTGAGTACATGTGTCTTTATAATAGAATCATTTATGTTCTTTTCAGTGTATGCCCAGTAATGGGATTACTGGGTCAAATGGTATTTCTGACTGTAGGTCTTCGAGAAATTGCCACACTGTCTTCCACATTAGTTGAACTAATTTACATTCCAACCCACAGAGCAAACACCTTTACAACAGTGTAAACCTCACCAGCACCAGATATTTTTTGACTTTCTAATAATAGTCATTCTGACTGGTGTGAGATGGAATCTCACTGTGGTTTTGATTTGCATTCCCTTAATGATCAGTGATATTGAGCTTTCTTTCACATGCTTGTTGGTCACGTGTATGTCTTCTTTTGAAAAGTGTCTGTTTATGTTCTCTGCCCACTTTTTATAGAGATGTTTGTTTTTTTCTTGCAAATTTGTTTACATTACTTATAGATGCTTTATATTAGACCTATGTCAGTTGCATAGTTTTCAAATTTTTTCTTCCGTTCTGTAAGTTTTCTGTTTGCTCTGTTGATAGTTTATTTTGCTGTGCAAAAACTTTTTAGTTTAATTGATTCCATTTGCCAATTTTTGCTTTTGTTGCAATTGCTTTTGGCATCTTCATTATGAAATCTTTGCCCATGCCTATGTCCTGAGTGGTATTGCCTAGATTGTCAGATTGTTGTTGGTGTGTGGTCTTATTTCTGGGTTCTCTATGCGGTTCCATTGGTCCATGTATCTGTTCTTGTACCAGTACCATGCGGTTTTGGTTAATATAGCCCTGTAGTATACTTTGAAATCAGTTAGTGTGATGCTTCTACCTTTGTTCTTTTAGTTTAGGATTGCCTTGGCTCTTTGTTCTCTTTTTTGCTTCCATATGAATTCTAAATTAGTTTTTTCTAGTTCTGTGAAGAATGCCAATGTTAAGTTTCATAGGCATATCATTGAATCGAGGATATAGAAAAACTTAGCAATACCATTAACCAACAAGTTCTATTTGATATTTTTAGAATACTCAACAACTGCAAAATATACAATCTTTTTAAGTGCCCATGAAACATATACCAAGATGGCATGATTCTATATCTAGAGAAGCCCATAGTCTTGGCCCAAAAGATTCCTAAGCTGATAAACAACTTCAGCAAAGTTTCAGAATAGAAAGTCAACATACAAAAATGAATAGAATTCCTATACACCAGCCACATGCCTACCTGATCGTGGTGGATGAGATCTTTGATGTGTTCTTGGATTCAGTTTGGTAGTATTTTTTGAGAATTTTTGCATGATGTTCATCAAGGATATTGACCTGAAGTTTTCTTGTTTTGCTGTGTCTCTGCCAGGTTTTGGTTATCAGGATGATGCTGGCCTCACAGAATGAGCTGGGGAGGAGTCGCTCCTCCTTAATTTTTTGAATCATTTTAGTAGGAATGGTACCAGCTCTTCCGGTAGAATTCAGCTGTGAATCCATCTGGTCCTGGGTTTTTGGTTTTTTGTTTTTTTGTTTTTTTTTTTTTTGGTTGGCAGGTTGCTTACTTATTATCAATTCATTCTTGGATCTCTTTATTTATCTGTTGTTTGTCTGTTCAGGGATTTGTCTGTTATTTATTCAGAGATTCATTTTCTTCCTGGTTCAATTTTTGGAGGGTGTATGTGTCCAGGAATGTATCCATTTCTTCTTGATTTTCTAGTTTCTGTGCATAGAGGTGTTCATAATAGTCTCTGATGGTTATTTCTGTGGGGTCAATGGTAATATCCCATTTGTCATTCCTGATTGTGTTTATTTGGATATTCTATCTATTCTTATTTATTAATTTAGTGAGCAGTTTATTTGTCTTTTTTTTTCAAAAAAAAACCCAGCTCCTAGCTTCATTGATCTTTCAAATGGTTTTTCATGTCTCAGTCTCTTTCAGTTCATCTCTGATTTTGATTATTTCTTGTCTTCCTCTAGCTTTGGGGTTGGTTTGGTCTTTCTTCTCTAGTTTTTTTTTTTTTAGTTGTAATGTTTGGTTGTTCATTTGAGATATTTCTAACTTTTTGATGTGGGCATTTAGTGCTACAAATTTTCCTGTTAACACTGCCTTAGCTGTGGCCCAGAAATTCTGGTATGTTATACCTTTGTTCTCATTATTAGTTTCAAAGAACTTCCTGACTTCTGCCTTAATTTCTTTATTTACCCAGGAGTCATTCAGGAGCAGGTTGTTTAATTTCCATGTAACTGTATGGTTTTGAGTAATTTCTTAGTCTTGAATTCTATTTTTGTTGTGCTGTGGTCTGAGAGAGTAGCTGATATGGTTTTGGTTCTTTTGCATTTGCTGAGGATTATTTTATGTCTGATTGTGTGGTTGATTTTGGAGTATGTGCCATATGCAGATGAGAAGAATGTACATTCTGGTTTTTTTATTTATTTATTTTTTGAGATGAAGTTTTGCTCTTGTTGCCCAGGCTGGAGTGCGGTGGTGTGATCTCAGCTCACTGCAACCTCTGCCTCCCAGATTCAAGCAATTCTTCTGCCTCAGCCTCCCGAGTTGCTGGGATTATGGGCATGCACCACCATACCCGGCTAATTTTGTATTTTCAGTAGAGACAGGGTTTCACCATGTTGGTCTGGCTGGTCTTGAACTCCTGACCTCAGGTAATCTACCGGCCTCAGCCTCCCAAAGTGCTGGGATTGCAGGCTTGAGCCACCGCGCCCAGCCCATTCTGTTTTTTGGGGTGTAGAGTTCTGTAGATGTCTCTCAGAAACATTTGGCCCACAGTAGAGTTTAGGTCTTAAATGTATATGTTTTCTGCTTTGTTGATCTGTTTAATACTATCAGAGGGGTGTTGAAGTCTCCCACTATTAATGTGTGGGAGTCTAAGTGTCTTTGAAAGTCTCTAAGAACTTGCTTTGTGAATCTGGGTGCTCCTGTGTTGGATACATATGTATTTAGGATAGTTAAATATTCTTGTTGAAATGAACCCTTTACAATTATGCAATGTCCTTCTTTTTTTTTTTATCATTGTTGGTTTAAAGTCTGTTTTGTCTGAAATTAGGATTGTAACCCCTGCTTTTTTCTGTTTTCTATTTCCTTGGTAGATTTTTTTTCATCCCTGTATTTTGATCCTATGGGTGTCATTGCATGTGAGATGGGTTTTTTGAAGACAGCATTCCTTTGGGTGTTGCTTCTTTATCCAGCTTGCCATTCTGTGCCTTTCGATTTGAGCATTTAGCCCATTTACATTTAAGGTTAGTATTGATATGTGTGGATATGATCCTGTCATCATGTTGTTAGCTGTTTATTATGCTGACTTATTCATGTGGTTGCTTTGTAGTGTCACTGGTCTGTTTACTTCAGTGTGTTTTTGTAGTGGCTGGTAACAGTCTTTCTATATTCAGTGCTTCTTTCAGGAGCTCTTTATGGAAGGTCTACTGGTAACAAATTCTCTCTGCATTTGATTGTCTGAAAATGATTTTGTTTTTCCTTCACTTATAAAGCTTAGTTTGTCTGAATATGAAATGCTTGCCTAGAATTTCTTCATGTTAAGAATGTTGAATATAGGTCCCTAATCTCTTCTGGCTTGTAGAGTTTCTGCTGAGAGGTCTTCTGTTAGTGTGATGGGCTTCCCTTCACAGATGACCTGTCCTTTCTTTCTAGCTACCTTTAACATTTTTTTCTTTTATTTTGCCCTTAGAGAATCTGATGATTATGTGCCTTGGGTATGATCTTCTTGTGAAGTATGTTGTGGGGGTTCTCTGCCTTTCCTAAATTTGAATGTTGGCCTCTCTAGCTAGGTTGGGTAAATTCTCATGAATGGCATCCTGAAATATGTTTTCCAAGTTGCTTCCATTCTCCCCATCCCTTTCAGGGGTGCCAATGAGTCATAGATTTTGTCTCTTCACATAATCCTATATTTCTTGGAATGTTTTGTTATTGTCGTTCCTTTTCATTTTTTTTCTTTATTCTTAACTGACTGCCTTATTTCACAAATCCAGTCTTCAAGCTCTAAGATTCTTTCCTCTGCTTGGTCTATTCTGCTGTTAATACTTAACAATTGTCTTATGAAATTCTTGTAGAGTGTTTTCTCAGCTCTATAAGGTTGATTACGTACATTTCTATACTGGCTATTTTGTCTGTCAGCTCTTGTGTCACTTTTTCATGACTCTTAGCTTCCTTGGATTGGATTTCAACATTCTTCTGAATCTTCATGATCTTCATTTCTATACATATTCTTAATTATATTTCTGTCATTTCAGCCATCTCAGCCCATTTAAGAACTCTTGCTGAAGAACTAGTGTAGCTGTTTGGAAGAAAGAAGGCACTCTGGTTTTTTGAGTTGCCGGAGTTCTTGTGCTGGTTCTTTTTCATCTTTGTGGGCTAATGTTCCTTCAATCTTTGAAGTTGCTGTTCTTTGGATTTTTTTTCTTTTATCCCATTTGGTGCCCTTTGGGGTTTGATTGTTGTATAAGATTTCTTCAGTCAACTGGCTTAATTATTAGAAGATTTTAAGGGGCCAAGGCTCAGCTCAGGACTCCTGGACTGCTTGCCCTAATTCTGGGAGAATAGTATTGGGACCCAGTTTTGTTCTTTGGTTCCTTGAGATTAAAACTTGCTGTGCTGGAGGGGGCGAAGTGCTCCCAGGCTTCTCATCACAACGCCCTAATGGGTGGTGCCAGCCAAAGCACTTCATTGGGCAGTGTCCTGAGATCTGTCTTCACTTGTATGTGCTGGCAGCAGTGGCAGGAGCAGCAAGGTGGAATGCACATTCCTTGGCAGTGGCAGGGTGCTAGTGAGTGCAAGGATGCTGGCCTCTCTGCAGGCATCACAGCAGCAGCAGTAGCAGTATGGCTTGGAGGGGCAGGGAGTCCCCTCTGGCAAATGTGCATACATTTGCACCGATCATGGTGTTAGTATGAGGACAGGGTGCTGTTGGGCACAGTACTGTGTGCACACTCTGTGTACATTCACACTGGCAGTGGCGGTCACTTAGGGCCGGGGGCAAGTCCTCTTTTTTGTGCGCCTGGTTTCTTACCAGCAGCAGTGTCAGCATAGGCTCAGAGCACTGGCGGGGGTAGGTCTGGTAGGCTTGATGCTCACCAGTACTCCAGTGACAATGGCGGTGCAGCAGTGACAGCGAGGGTGGGGTGCACTCATGCTGGCAGCAGTGGCACAGCAGACACACACACACACACACACACACACACGTGCACTAACAAGGAAGAGAAATCAAGGTCCACCTGCACACATACATGCTGGCACTGTGATGTGGGGGTGGGCATGGGTGAGTGCTTGCAGGCAAAGTAGCATCGGAGAGGCTGCAGTGCAGGAGGGTGCAGGCGGGCTTGTGTGTGTCCAGAGGCCACTTTGCTGAAGCACTCTGCTGGTAAGGCGCGGTCTGCCAGTGCAGGAGCTATGATACAGGCCCCCAGGAAGTACCTGGGGGCTGCACTGCATGCAGGCATGGCCAGGTTGCAGGTCCTGGGAGAGGCCAACTGACTAAGGCGTGCTCAGGTCAGACCACCCGGTCTCATGGGCAAGACCACCCTACAGAGTTCAGGTCTGACAGTTCTTCTAGGGCTAAAGTCTCCTATGGGAACATAGAGAGCCTAGGGGGATGGGTGCCCCTGGCCGTGCTCCGCTGCAGATGCTCCTGCACCAAATCCTTTGGGCTCCACCTCGGCTGGAGTTCTGCCTCTACCACGTCTCTAAGCAGCTCTCCCTGATAACTTAAGTGTCCGTAGTGGTCGAGGAGTCTCCTCCTGCCAGAATTCCAGAGGCCTATATGGCAATAGCGGGTTGCTCCTTGCCTGTTCAACTCACTCTCTCCGCAGGAGTCGTTGGGTGCCAGGAATGAGTCCCAGTGCTCAGTAGCCCTGTGCAGGGTTCCCATCTTCCTTCACCTTCATCCCAGTGTCTGTGTCTTCCCTCTGTTTGCTCTCAATACCTTTACTCTGATGATCTGCTAGGAGTGTGCCAATCTTCTTGATATCCCAGTCTCTCAATGGAAAATGTTTCTTCTGGCTGCATCTAGCTGGCCATCTTGGATCCAGTCTTGGCCTAATTCTTCAAGTGTTTGGTAGAATTCTCCAGAGAAATCATCTGGGCCTAGAAATTCCTTATTCTGCAGATTTTAAATTAATGCATTCAATTCCTTTAATATCCACAAGACTATTCATGTTCTCTCTTTCATCTTTGCTGAGTTGTGGTAGCTTCTGATTTTTAAGGACTTGTTCCAATTCTTTTAATTTGTGGAATTTGTTAGTGTAACATTGCTCATAGTGTTATCTTATTATCCTCTTAAGAGCTTTAAGATTTGCAGTGATATCTTTTGTTTCATTATTGTTATTGATGATTTGCGTCTTGTCTCTTTTTGATCTTTGTCACTATTGCTAAGAGTTTATCAATTGTATTGATTTTTTTCAAAGAACCATCTTTTGTTTCAATTATATTTCTCTATGGTTTTTGGATTTTCAACATTTTTTATTTCTGCCCTTGTCTTTATTGTTTCCTTCCTTTTTTCTTGCTTTGGATTTATGTTTCTCTCCTTTTTCTAGCTTCTTTAGATGCCAGAAATTAAGGGGGAAGTGTTTGTGACAGTGAAAGGGTAGCACAAGGGATTCTTGTGATGGAACTTGGTGGTAGTCACCCAACATATATATGTGATAAAATTTCTTTGAAAATAATACCCACACACTCACAGAAATGACTATGTGAAACTGGAGCAATCTGAATAAGATTGTCTCACTGTCAATTTCCTGTTTGTGATATTGTACTGTAACTATGCAAGATGTTATCATTGGGAGAAACTGGTTGAAAGGTAAAAAAGATCTTTTTGTATTATTTCTTACAACTGCATACAAATCTGCAATCATGCAAAATAGACAGTATTTTTTAAATGAAGGTAAAATAAAGATAGTCTCAGTTATCCAAATGCTGAGATAACTTATCACTAGTTGTATTAGTCAGGTTTCTCTAAAGGGACAGAACTAATAGGATAAATGAATATATGAAGGGGAGTTTATTAGGAGAAATGACTCACACAATCACAAGGTGAAGTCCCACAATAGGCCGTCTGCAAGCTGAGGAGAAGGAAGCTAGTCCAAGTCCAAAACCTCAAAAATAGGAAAGCCAGTAGTGCAGCCTTCAGTCTGGCTGAAGGTACAAGAACCACTGGCAAATCATTGGTGTAAGTCCAAGGGTCCAAAAGCTGAAGAACTTGGAGTCTGCTGTTCAAGGACAGGAAGCACCTGGCACAGGGGAAAGATGCAGGCCAGGAGATTTAGCCAGTCTAGGCCTTCCATGTTCCTCTGCCTGTTTTTATTCTAGCCACGCTGGCAGCTGATTAGATGGTACCCACCCAGATTGAGGATGGGTCTGCCTCTCCCAGTCCACTGACTCAAATGTTAGTCTCCTTTCCTTTGGCAACACCCTCACAGACATACCCGGGAACAATACTATGCATCCTTTAATCCTTTCAAGTTGACACTCAATATTAACCATCACACCAGTAGTTGTACACCAATGTATTTTCTAAAACACATTTTGCAGATTGAAGGAAAATGGTAGTGGATGAAAAACAGACATGCAAAAATAAATGAGCTTCTTATGAATAGTAAAAATATTGGTAAATATAAAAAACAACTGACTGTTTAAAGAAACAATAATAGCAATGAATGTAGGGTATCCACTATATGTAGAAGTAAAATAATTAAGAGTAGCAAAAATGGTAGAGTAGAAAAATAAAGAAAAAAATAGGATGAAGAGAAAATAACAAGATGATAGATTATATATTAAACACTTTGGTTAAAATACAAAAATTGTAATACTGAGAAAAAAAAAAACAGCCCTGGGTTGTTTAGAATAAAACTACTTTATAATGACACAGATAGGTCTCCAGATGCATGTAACCTCTAACCCCCAAAATATTAATTTGTTTATATTAGTATCAGGCAAGAAATATAATAAGAGATGCAAAGCATTTCACCTTGAAAAAATGGGTCGAATCAATAGGATATATAGAAAAATACAATTTTAATAATGTACCTTCAAAATGGATAAAGCAAAATTAACAGCTAAATAGAGATCTGGACAAATCAACAATCATATTGGATATCTTAATGTATCTCTTCCAGTAACTAAAACAACATGCAGATAAAGAAGTATCTCCCAACCATATTTGACAAAGTTGACAATTTCCTCTTTCTTTAAATTTCTATCCCCTTAACTTCCATAGCACCATATCTATTTACTTTTTTTCTTGTTCTCTGAACATTCCTTCTCAAAATCCTGACAATCTCATTCTTCTCTACCCAAGCATTAATTGTTAGAGTTCCTCAGGGTGCCATCCTAGGCTCTTGTCTCTTCTCCTGGCTTACTCTGTCTTTATTTTGTCCAGATATATGGCTTCATTTACCATCAAACACTGCCACATCTTAAATGTTTATGTCTTCTGAAATCCAGACCCTAATATCTGTGTTCTCCTGTACATCTTTGCTTAAAGGTCTCCCAAGTATCGCAAACTCAACAGAAACAAAATTGAAGCCATCATTCCCTTTCCAACCTGGCTTTTCCAGAAAATACACCACCATTCTCTTAATTGCTCAAGTTGAAAACATGAAAGTACATGCTTACTCCTTCATATCCCTGAACCCTCCTCAATTTCGAAGCAATCACCTTGTTCTATCAAGTCTCCCTTCTTAACATCTCTGGAATCTCATCATTTCTTTCTATCTTCTTTGCTAGCAATCTAGTCAAATTATATTTCCTGATATTCTGAAACTGTCTTTTAACAAGCCTATGTGCATCTAGAATTACTGCCCGCCTCATTTTAATTCATTCTTACCAGTACATTCACGCTTATGTTTGTTACCAAATTTAGTCATGTAACTCATTGACTTAACAACTTTAAGTGGCTTTCCAATGTACTTACAATAAACTCCAGGATCTTTACCATTGCTAACAAAGAAGAGAAGCCCCACATAATCTACAACTACCTAGATTGAGACCCTAATCTTATTCATCACGCTTCACTCTCCCCCACATTCACCATGCTCCAGGCATGGAGGACTTTGTTCAGTTTTTGAATGTTTTCCTGCTTTATTTCCTCTTCCTATAGTACTCTCTGCTTTTATCTCTTGACCCATGCAATTATTATTTATCCTTTAGTTGTACGTTTAAGAAGAATTTTCTATGATAAAATTAGCCCTATAACTGTATGCTTCTAAAAATTCTGTATTGATGCCCCTAGTTCTTATCAGACTTTTATTTGTCTAATATCTATCTATCCCACAAAACCACAAACTCTACGAGGACAGTGGTATTCCCAACACCCAGAAAAGTGTCTAGCATAAAATAAGTGCTTAATAAATGTGTGCAAATTAATAGATAGGTGATTCACAATATCATATATTAGTTATTCCCTTGTAATAATTATGGTGGTGAAATATTGTTGTAGGTAGAGACCTAATAAACTTAGTATATTAGGTCCTGTCTAGATAGTTTTCTGGAAGAAAATTCCTCGATTTTTTACAGTAACTTCTGTTATTTCCAGTGGAAACATGTATTCCCGTATATTGTGAGAAAAACCTGTGAGTATAGACAGCTTTCTAAAGTCACCTATTGGAAGCCAAATAATAACAGTAATCCTATATATTAACTATTTTTCCATTCATTTATTTAACAAATATTCATTTTGTGCTGACTCTGTGCCAAATGTCTTTTGTTTGGTTGGTTGGTTTTTGTTTGGTTTTGTTATTTTTATTTAACATGCCAGAGATGGAGCGGTGAATGAGGCATACGATGGAACACCCATCATGGAGTTTGTATTCTGCCGAGAGAGAAAATCACTGGGCTGACTGATTAATAATTTGATACCAGGTGGTGATAAGTGCTGAAAGGAAAAGTGAAGCAAAAAAAAGAGAAATGGATCAAGGTCATGGAAGTGTTAAAGACACAAGTAAAAAATGGGCCTTCTGAGGAGGTGACATTTTTGCAGAGACTACAAAGAAAGAAGTGAGTCTTGCAATATCTGCGGAAGGATATTCTTGGTAGGAAGGAAGAGTTAATGAAATGTCCCAAGGGGAAATAAGTTTCATAAGTTAGAAGAGAAATAAGACTATCAGTGGGATTAGAGCAAAGTAAAAAAAAAAAAAAAAAGGAAAGTAAGGGGACATATTATTTGTGATCTTACAGGCTATAGTAAGGACTTTTGTTCTAAAGGTATTGAGAAGCCACTGAAGAGATTTGAGACAGAGACATAATCTGATATTTTATGTGTATCTGTGTTTTAAAAATATCCTTTGGCTGATTTAGGCTGGGTAGGGAGTGAGTGTTAAAATAGAATAATAAGGCCAGGATTTTCTACTTTTCCTTAATCCAACTACAACTTCACAGATGTGATAATTTTTATAAGTTTAGTTATCTGGCTTTTTAAAAATATATTAACATATTTAAAATGCCATGTGAGAAAATTTTATGGGTGAATAAATTTTATTATTTTCAGTGCCTGACTTTTCCTTAGTCCTCTTCTCCCCTAAATAATCATTGAGTTTGATATGGTATCCATTGTTGTGAAATAAGGATAACTTATAAAATCAAGTTATTCAACATTTAATCATTGTTTAACAAAGGAAGCTTATTCCAAGGTTTCACATAACATAGAATTATATGGCAACAAGCTAATATTGATCAATACCTTAGATTTTATGCAGCTGACCATTTTATAACCAGACTAATAATTTATTTTACTGGCTTAGGTGCTCACAATAGATAAAATTATATATGTTAAATGGGACAAAATTATACTCTTGTTATTGGACAATAATCAATTGCAACATTGTTCAATGATGGCATAAAGAACTGCAAATAACAAGTGGTGAGAAAAATTATTTCGTTGGGATGTTCAGCGTTATATGCAGTTGATAAAATTATTTACCGCATGCATTATTTCTATATGAAGTTTTGTAGATTATCTTTTAAGGAAGTGATTGTTATATTTTAACTATTTTGTTAAATTAATAGGAATACTCTAAAATATAATAAAAGGAGTTTTTTAAGTGTTATTTTTAGGATTTTTTAGGTATAACTTACATACAATAAACCATACATATTTAAAATGTTATATATATATATATACACACACACACACACACACATACATGAAACCATCACTACAACAAAGATAGTAAATATATCTATTATCCAAAAAGTTTCCCTTTTGTAGCTCCTCCTCCTCATCTATCACCCCCACCTTCCCTAGGCAGCCACTGATATGCTTATTGTCACTGCAGATATATTTACATTTTCTAGAGTTTTGTATGAATGAAAGCATACGGTATGTACTCTTTTTGTTTGGCTTCCTTCAGTTAGTATCATTGTTTTGCAATTTATTTACATGGTTAAATGCATCAAGTTTCCAGTCCTTTCCATGGCAAAGTAGCATTACATTATATAGATATACTACAATTATTTATCCAGTTAGACATTGGTAAACATGTGGGTCATTTTCAGTTAGGGTTATTACAAATATAGCTGCTATGAAAATTCATGTATAAGCTTTTATGGTGGCTAATGCTTTCTTTTTCTCTTGGATAAATCTGTATGGGCATATGCTTTCATTTCAAGTAGGAAGCATGACTCTTACAGTATGTATACGTTTAGGTTTCTCAAAAATTGCCAAACTATTTTTCAGAGTAGTTTTTTACCATTTTACATTTCCATCAGTAGTGTATATGAGTTCCAGTTCCAAAAATCTTTGTTAATACTTTGTATTTCTTTTTATAATCTTATTTTTCATAACCCTTTAGTATCTAACTCTCTTGCTAATGATATGTAACATTTATTAAAAGTGAAATAGATGTCAGGCATTATACTAAGTATTTTACAATCATTTTCTTAATGTATTATCACAAGAATGCAAAGGAGCAATTATTATTCCTATTTTACAGAAGAATAAACTGAGGTTAAGTAACTTGCCATAGAACACATCAATTGTAAGTCACCTATCAATAATTTGAACCCAAGTAGTCTGACTATGGAGACAGTGCTATTAAAAATACACTATATTCTCCTATCCCCTAGACCAGGGATTCTAAAATGCTATATTCTCCTATCCCCTAAACCAGGGATTCTTTGACATGTGGTGAAATTTAAAGACCTGTTCCTTTAAAGCCTTTCACATCTTGTGAAGTGTGTCTGAATTTTATTACATATGCAAGATAAAACATTTAGGATTACAACAGAAACTAGTTGTATCGAAATACGGTTTTCTAAAGATTTAAAAGTTGTAATATAATAATATGCATACTTCTTTATTAACACATTAAATAACAATATATATTTGTGGGCTTAATAACAACCATAATGCCAAAGTAGTCATGAATGTAAAAATATTTTAAGATTTATACAGCTTCTATAAAATGATATGAAATATTTGTTACTCCTTTTAGTAACAAAAGTCACAGGTACTTCTAATACTACTATGGTTTATAACCTACAAAAATAAATAAAAATACTGCTACATTTTAATGAGACATTGATGAAAATAAAGATGTAGTATTTCTTTCATCCCAATGAACATTTCTCAGTTCTGTCTATGAACCCTTGGACCTGAGTTTAGTACTAGTTCACAAATGCCAGCAACACAGAATCCATGTTTATTTTAATCATCTCCATATCAACAGTGCTTAGTACAGAACATTTCATAAAGCAAGTTCTACTGGATAAGTGAATTCATGAAACACAACTTTTCGGGTACCATCCTAGACATTAGGATTTAGCAATTAACAAGACAAACATAATATCCAGTTTCGAGAACTGATAGTATACCAGGAAATACAAACAATTAAATAAAGTTGTGTGGCCTGGCCAGGTTTTTACAAGACTGACTTGCTGCCTACTGTGCTGAGAAGGTAGACTTGGCCAACTTTTTAAAGTTTTTTGTGCCTCAGTTTCCTTATCTATAAAATGCATGTAAGAGTCGCCCTCATAGGTTCAGAGTAAGGATTTAATGAGAATATATAAATGAATTATGGATAAGTAGATAGGTAGACGGATGGATAGACAAAGTGACACACACACACACATATGTTTTGTGCGTATATAATTTTATAACAGTGCCTATTCCCCCATGTTGTATAGTATATGCCATTACTATTATGAAGATAGAGGAAATACAAGGTGCTGTGAAATTGCGTAGCAGAATATAATTTTATCTGGGGATCAATAATGCCTCGCACAGAAAATTATATTTCAAGATTATACCTAAAGATTGGATGGAAGGTAGACAAACGTGAGGGGAAGCTGCAAGCCAGAAGAGAAAGAAAACTGTCTACCAAAAATACTATATTTAGCAAACTTGTCCTTCAAAAACGATGGCAAGAGATTTTCTTGGACAAGCAAAAGCTGAGGGTGTCCTGCAGCACTAGAACTGCCTTATAAGAAATACTAAAGGGAGTTCTTCAAATTGAAATTAACAGACACTAAACAGTAACACTAGAGCATATGAAAGTATAAAACCCATTGGTAAATGTAAATACATAGAGAAAAACAGAATACTGTATTACTATAACAGTGTTGGGTAAATTGTTTTAATTATACTATAAAAGTTAAAAGTCAAAAGTATTAAAAATAACCATAAATAGATAACATTAATGGATACATAAAATAAATACAAGAAAATTGTTTTATCACTGGCATAAAATGGGGAAGGAGAGGTAAAAGTCTGGAGTTGTTGTGTGTACATGAAGTTAAACTGCTATCAGCTGAATATAGATTATTATAAGATATTTTATGTAAACTCCATGGTAACCACAAAGAAAAAGCCTATCATTGTTACATAAAAGAAAAAAAGGAAAGAATCAAAGCCTATCAATGCAAAAAAACAACAACAGCAAATCATGAAGGAAAACAGCAAGAGAAAAAAGGACAAAATTACTACATGAAAAACAAATAACAAAATGGCAATAGTCAGGCCAGGTGTGGTAGCTCATGTCTGTAATCTCAGCAATTTGGGAGGCCAAGGCAGGAGGATTTCTTGAGGCCAGGAGTTCAAGACCAGCCTGGACAACATAGCAAGACCCTGTCTCTACAAAAACATATAAATAAATAAAAATAAAATTTCAAAATGGCAATATCAAGTCATTTCTGATCAATAATTACTTTAAATAAATGTGGATTATACTCCCCAATCAAAAAATATAGTGGGCCTGCATGAATTTTAAAAAGTATCCAAATATATGTTGTCTAAGGAAACTTATTTTAGATTCAAGGAAACACATGCTGAAAGTGAAGGAATGGAAAAATATATTCCATGGAAATAGTGACCAAAAGAAAGCAGGAGTAGGCCAGGCATGGTGGCCCATGCCTGTAATCCCAGCACTTTGAGAGGCCAAGGCAGGCCAGTCACCTGAGGTCAGGAGTTCAAGACCAGTCTGGCCAACATGGTGAAACGTCATCTCTACTAAAAAAACACAAAAATTAGCCAGACATGGTAGCGGGCGCCTGTAATCCCAGCTACCTGGGAGGCTGAGGCAGGAGAATCGCTTGAACCCAGGAGGCAGAGGTTGCACTGAGCCAAGATCATGCCATTGCACTCCAGCCTGGGTGACAGAGTGAGACTCTGTCTCAAAAAAAAAAAAAAAAAAAAAAGCAGAAGTGGCCATACTTTATCACAAAATAGACTTTAAGTTTAAACAAAAACTCTAGAGAAAGACTGTTATTATATAATAATAAAAGGGTGAAATCAACTGAAAGATATAACAAGAGCAAATCTATATGCACTCACTGTCAGAGCACCTAAGTATATGAAGCATATACTGACAGATCTGAAAGGAGAAATATACAGCAAAACAATATTAGTAAGAGACTTCAATATCCTACTTTTAATAACGTACAGAACATTCATATGGAAAATTAATAAAGAGTGTACTTGAACAAAATTAGAGAATAAATGGACCGACAGACATACATAGAACATTCCATCCAACAGTAGGAGAAAACACATTCTTCTCAAACACACACACACAACATTCTCCAGGATAGATTACATGTTAAGTCACAACACAACTTTTTTTTATTTCAATTATTTTTGGGGTACAGGTGGGTTTTGGCTACATGCATAAGTTATTTAGTGGTGATTTCTGAGATTTTAGTGCACCCATCACCCAAGCAATGCTCACTGTACCCAATATGTAGTCTTTTACCCCTCAATCCCCTCCCAACGTTCCCCACTAAGTTCCCAAAGTCCATTACATCATTCTTATGCCTTTGTGTCCTAATAGCTTACCTCCCACTTATAAGTAAGAACATACTATATTTGGTTTTCTATTCCTGAGTCACTTCACTTAGAATAATGGCCTCCAGCTCCATCCAAGTTGCTGCGAAGGCCATTATTTCATTCCTTTGTGTGGGTGAATAGTATTCCATGGTGTATATATACATTTTCTTTATCCACTCGGTTGATGGGCACTTAGTTGGTTTCATATCTTTGCAATTGTGAATTGTGCTGCTATAAACATGTCTGCACATGTGTCTTTTTCATATAGTGACTTCTTTTCCTTTGGGTAGATACCCAGTAGTGGGATTGGTGAATGAAATGTTAGTTCTACTTTAGTTCTTTAAGGAATCTCCATACTGTTTTACATAATGGTTGTACTAATTTCTTTTCCCACCAGGAGTTTAAAAGTGTTCCCTTTTCACCACATCCATGCCAGCATTTATTGTTTTTCGACTTTTTAATTATGGTCATTCTTTTAGAAATAAGGTGGCAGCTCATTGTGGTTTTAATTTGCATTTCCCTGATAATTAGTGATGTTGAGCATTTCCTCATGTATTTGTTGACTGTTTGTATATCTCCTTTTGAGAAATGTCTATTCATGTCCTTTGATAACTTTCTGATGAGACTTTTTTTTCTTGCTGATTTGAGTTCCTCATAGACTCTGGATACTAGTCCTTTGTCGGATGCAGAGCTTGAAAAGATTTTCTCCCACTCTATGGGTTGTCTCTTTACTCTGCTGATTATTTCTTTTGCTATACAGAAGCTTTTTAGTTTAATTGGGTCTAATTTACTTATTTTTGTTTTTGTTGCATTTGCTTTGGGGGCCTTAGTTATGAATTATTTGCCTAAGCTAATGCCCAGAAGAGTTTTTCTGATGTTATGTTCTAGAATTTTTATACTTTAAGGTCTTAGATTTAAGTCTTTGATTCATCTTGAGTTGATTTTTGTATAAGGTGAGAGATAAGGATCCAGTTTCATTCTTCTACATGTGGTTTACTAGTTTTCCCAGCACTATTTATTGAATAGGGTGTCCCTTCCCCAATTTATGCTTTTATAAGCTTTGTCAAAGATCAGTTGGCTATAAGTATTTGGCTTCATTTCTAGGTTCTCTGTTCTGTTCCATTGGTCTACGTGCCTATTTTCATACCACTACCATTGTTTTGGTAACTGTAGCCACATAGTGTAATTTGAAGTTGGGTAATGTGATGCCTCCAGATTTGTTCTTTTTGCTTACTATTGCTTTGGCTTTGTGGGCTCTTTTTTTTTGTTCAATATGAATTTTAGGATTTTTTTCTAGTTCTGTGAAGAATGATGATGGTATTTTGATGGGATTGTACTGAATCTGCAGATTGCTTTTGGCTGTATAGTCATTTCCACAATGTTGATTCTTCCTGTCCATGAGCATGGGATGTTTCAATTTGTTTGTGCCATCTATGATTTCTTTCAGCAGTGCTTTGCATATTTCCTTGTAGATAACTTTTACCTCTTTGGTTAAGTTTATTTCTAGGCATTTTGCTTTTTTTTTTTTTTGCAGCTGTTGTAAAAGGGGTTGGATTCTTGATTTGATTCTCAGCTTGGTCATTGTTGGTGTGTAGCAGTGCTATTGATTTGTGTACATTGATTTTGTATCCTGAAATTTTACTGAATTTGTTTATCAGGGTTTTCTAGGTACATGATATTATCAGCATACAACAACAGTTTGACTTCTTTTCCAATTTGTTTGCCACTCATTTTTTTCTCTTGTCTGATTGCTCTGACTAGGACTTCCGGTGCTATGTTGAACAGAATTGATTAAAGAGGGCATGCTCACAATATAACTCTTAATAAATAAATTTAAGCATATAAAAATCACACCAAGTATCTTTTCTGACCACAGTGGAATGAAACTGGACATCAGTAACAGCAAGAGAATGGGAAAATAGACTAATACATAGAAACTAAGCCACACACTCTTGAGCAACCATTGTGTCAAAGAGAAAATTAGAAGAGTATTTAAGAAATATCTTCAGACAAAAAATAATGTTAAAAAGATATCAAAACTTATGGAATGCAGAAAAAACAGTACTGAGGAGGACGTTTATAGCTCTAAACATATACATTTAAAAAGAATGATTTTAAATCAGCAATCTACCATTATGCCTCAAGGAACTAGAAGAGAAAGAAGACACTAAGCCCAAAGTTAGTATAAGGAAGTAAATAATAATGATTGGAGCAGAAGTAAGTCAAATAGAGAATAGAAAAACAATATAAAAAATAAAAACTAACGGTTGGTTTTTTGAAAAGATAAAATCAGCAAACCCTTATATATACTAAGAATAAAAGAAAGACTGAAATAAAGAATGGGGAGACGTTATAGCTGATGCCTCAGAAGTAATAAGGATCATCAGGATCTATTATGAGCAGCTATGTCTTAAAAAATCAGATAGTCTAGAAATTGATAAATTCCTGGAAACGTACAACTTACTAAGGCTGAATCAAGAAGAAATAGAAAGTCTGAACAGACCATTAACAAAGAGATTGAAGCAGTAATGAAAAATTTCTCAACAAAGAAAACCACTGGACCAGATACCTTCACAGATTTATTCTATCAAACATTCAAAAATAATTAATACCAATTCTTCTTTAACTCTTGCAAAAAAAAAAAAAAAAAAAAATGAGAAGAGGAAACACTTCCAAACTCATTTTATGAAGCCAGAATCACACTGGCACCAAAGCCAGGCAAAGATACCACAATAAAAGAACACTACAGGAGGGTAACTCTGATGTGTATAGATCCAAAAATCCTCAATAAAATACTAGCAAAACAAATTCAACAGTACATCAAAAGGATTATATACCATGATCAGGTGGGATTTATCTCCAAGATGCAAGGTTGGTATGGCATGCAAATCAATCAATGTGATATATCACATAAACGGAGTAAAAGACAAGAACCACATGACCATCTTAATAGATGCAGAAAAAACCATTTGAAAAAGTTCAACATGTATTCATGGGTAAATTGAAAACTGTCAACAAAATAAGTGTAGAATGATCTTGCATCAACATAATAAAGGCCATTTATGAAAAACTCATAGCTAACATTGTAACCAACGGGGAAAAAATTGAAAGCTTTTCCTCTAAGATCTGGTACAATGCAGGGATTCCCATGATCAACACTTCTGTTCAACATAGTATTGGAAGTCCTAGTCAGAGCAATTAGGCAAGAGAAAGAAATAAAAGGCAGTGGAATTGGAAAGGAAGAAGTAAAATTATCTGTTTGTAGATGCCACGATTCTATATGTAGAAAGCCCTAATGATTTCATTAAAAATTTGTCAGAACTAATCAATGAATTCAGTAAAATTGCTAGATACAAAATCAACATACAAATATTGGTAGCATTTCTTTTCTCTAAAAATGAAATCAGTTGATTTCATTTTGAAAAGGAAATCAATAAAATGTTTAGATTTAGCTTTTTATTGATACATTACACATTTATGGGGTACATGTGATATTCCAATATATACATACAATGTGTAATGATCGAATCAAGGTGATTAGGATGTCCATCATCTCAAATATTTATCATTTCTTTGTAATGGGAACATTCCAAATCTTCTCTTCTGGCAATTTGAAATATACTATAAATTCATGTTAACTATAGCTGCCCTACTATGCTCTCAAACACTAGAATTTATTTCTTTTATCTAACTGTACTTTTGTATTGTACCCATTAACTATCCTCTCTTCATCCCCTTCTCTTCACTTCCCTTCTCAGACGCTCGTAACCACTATTGTACTCACTACCTCCATGAGATCAATTATTTTAGCTCCCACATATGAGTGAGAACGTGTAATATTTGTCTTTCTGTGCCTGGCTTATTTCACTTAACAAAATGTCCTTCAGTTCTATCCATGTTGTTGCAAATGGTAAGTTTTTTTTATATAAATGAATATTCCGTTGTGTGTTCCGTTGTGTGTGTGTGTATATATATATATATATATACCACTTTTTTATCCATTTATCTGTTAATGGCACTTAGAAAACAATTTCATTTACAGTATCATCAGGAAGAATAAAAGAGGAATAAATTTAACTAAAATGGTGAAATATTTATACAGTGAAAACTACAAAGCATTGATTAAAGATTTTTTTTTTTTTTTTTTTTTTGAGACGGAGTCTGGCTCTGTCGCCCAGGCTGGAGTGCAATGACGGGATCTCTGCTCACTGCAACCTCCATCTTCCGGGTTCAAGCGATTCTCCTGCCTCAGCCTCCCGAGTAGCTGGGATTACAGGCGCCCGCCACTACGTCCGGCTAATTTCTGTATTTTTAGTAGAGACGGGGTTTCACCATGTTAGTCAGGCTGGTCTCAAACTCCTCACCTAAGGTGATTCACCTGCCTCGGCCTCACAAAGTGCTGGGATTACAGGCATGAGCCACCGTGCGTGGCCTGATTTAAGAAATTTTAAAAGACGCAAATAAATGGGTGTATGTTCTGTGTTCATGGACTAGAAGGATTAATATTGTTAAAATGTCCATGCTACTCAAAGCAATTTACAGATTCAGCACAACCTCTATCAAAATGCCAATAGCATTTTTCATAGATTTAAAAAAAATCTAAAATTCAAATGAAACAACAAAAGAAAGAGAATAGCCAAAGCAATCTTGAGAAGGATAAGCAACATTGGAGGTATCACACTTCCTGATTTTGAATTATATGACAAAGCTTTAGTAATCAAAATAATATAGTACTGGCATAAAAGCAGACATATAGACCAATGCAACAGAATGGAGGGCCCATAAATAAACCCATTCATATATGGTCAACTAAATTTTGAGAAGGGCAACAAGAGTACACTATGAGGAAAGGATATTCTCTTTAATAAATGGTGTTTGAAAAACTGGATATACACATGCTAAAGAATAAAATTGGACCCTTACATCACACAACAAAAGTCAGCTAAAAATTGATTAAAGAATTAAATGTAAGACCTGAAACTACAAAATTCCTAGAAGAAAGTGCATGAAAAAATAAATTCTCGAAATTGGTCTTGGCAATGATTTTTTAGATATGACATGAAAAGCACAGACAGTAAAATCAAAATTAAACAAGTTGTACTACGGCAAACCATAAACCTTCTGTACAGCATAGGAAACAATTAACAGAGTGAAGAGACAACTGTGGAATGGGAGAATATATTAGCAAACCATATGACCAATATGCAGCTTTCATCCAAAATATATGAGGAACTCAGAGCTCAAGCAAAACACACAAACAAAAAACAAAAAATCTGATTAAAAATGGTCAAAGCCCCTGAATAGACAGTTCTCCAAAGAAGACATGCAAATGGCCAACAGGTATATGAAAAGATTCTCAAAAGCGCTAATCATCAAGGAAATGCAAATTAAAGCAACAGTGAAATATCACCTCAAACTTGTTAGGATGGCTATTATCAAAAAGATAAAAAAAATAACAAGTTTTGGCAAGAATGTGGATAAAAGGGAATCCTTATACATTGTTGGCGGGAATGTAAATTTGTATAGCCATTATGGAAAACAGTATGGAGATTCCTCAAAAAGTTAAAATACGAATGCCCTAGGATCAAATTACCACTCTTTTGGGTATATATAAAAAGGAAATGAAATCAGTATCTAGATGAGATATCTGCACTCCCATGTTCAGTGCAGAGTTATTCACAATAGCCAAGGCATGAAAACAACCTGAGTGTACATCAACAGATAAATTAATAAAGAAATTGTGATATATGTAAATATAATGAAATAATATTTAGCCTACAAAGGAAGGAAATCCTGCTATTTGTGATAATGTGGGTGAACCTGAAGAACATTACGCTAAGTGAAATAAGCCAGGCATAGGAAGAATAATACTGCATGATCTCACTTACATGTAAAATCTGAACAGTCAGCTATAAAGAAGCAGAGGGTAGATTGATTGTTACCAAGGGCAGAGGGAGGGGGAGAATGGGAAGATATTGGTCAAAGGACACAGAGTTTTCATTATCAGGATGAATAAGTTCTAGAGATCTAATGTGCAGGATAGGGGCTATAGTTAATAACACTACAGTATGCACTAAGAGAGTAATCTTGAGTGTTATCACCAAATACACAAAAAAAGGGTAACCATGTAAGAGGATGGATATGTTAATTACTTTTACTGTAGTAATCATTTCACTATATGTATATTGAAACATGTTGTACAACTTGTATACATTTTTACAAAAAATTAATTTTCACAAGCCTCAAGACAGACTTATGAATAGATGAAACAGAATACGGAAAATATCTGAAACAGGAAGGAGTCCAGCATTTTAGAAGAAAAAATAGAAGTCCATTGTGGCTGGAATAAAGTATAAAGAGGAAGAGAGGCAAGAGTTTAAGCTGGAGAGGCTAGTAGAAGCCAAGAATACAACAAAAAAAACACATGGCATTTATGCTATTCTCAATCTCTAAAATAGATATGCTAATCACCGAAGACTTTTTATGTAAAATAGCAGTAATTGATATACCAGTATTTTCAGAGTTGTGTGGAATGATATGTATATTATTTTAGAGAAATCTTGGTGGATTCATATGGACTCAACTTATCTTTCAGGTTTATTTCTTGCATTTATAAATTATATCTAATAAACTATAAGTTACTGATTGTTGTGTATATCTTGATATATAGGGATTATTTGTGTTTGTTATACAAAAATCAAATGGAAGTAGAATAGCTAAAATGTATGAGTACTTGCACACAAAGCACACACACACACACACACACACACACACACCATAACCCCTTAGGAAAACACTATTTCAGAATAGCGATATTGGCATATTTCACATATGCTAAATGAGTTATTCCTTATAGTTTCATAATGTAACTATGAAACCAGCTGTCTGTTTACTTTTTGTGGTAGGGGGGATAGCTTTCCTAACAAACTAAATACCTAATACAAAT